>NC_000001.11:229062909-229214424 GCF_000001405.40 Homo sapiens | reverse complement strand
TTTTTATTTCATATAGATCTTAATATTTTCTTGTTGAGTTTATTTCTAAGTATTTTTTCCTTCTTTTTTTAAATTGTGAATTACTCTTTATCTTCTAACTGGTTGCGATTTGCATTCATTGAAGGATATTGAATTAATTATTTCTCCATATTAATTTTAAAAGCAGTCACCTTACTGAATTTCTTATTTGTGAAATAAGCACACTGAGTGAGCATTTGAATCATTAGAAATTAATTTTTTCTGTTTTAATATTTATTCATACAGTAAATTCTTTATACTGGTCAGTTTGAGTTTTCTTGTGCAGTGGCTAATGTTGAGTACTTTTTATTTTGGCAGAACTTATTAACCAATTTGTCATGGATATCTCTCTAGTTGTATGATGTGTTAGGAGTTTTATGTTATTTTCATCAATGCCATTATTTTGTGTCAAATCAGCACAAAATTTAAATATTTTTCCAGTGAGTTCAGTGATGCATTCTTTTTTTACCAGTTGAATTATAAAATAACACAAGAACCTATTCATTATAGTCCGTTACTTATATTAGAGATCTATTTCTTCCTATTTAATGAATTATTGCATTTCGTATAGTCTGAATTATTATACTTTTTATATGCCTGTTGGCCTGGGGCCTTGGCAGAGGAGAACACATTTGATGACTTTCTTAAACCATGGGATCAGTTTCTCATTGTCAGAACCAATAGATTCCTTCTTTCCTCCTTGCCCACAGCTCACTGCAGGCCACAGCCAGAATCAAGCTTCCCCAAAGGGTACTCTCATCACACCATATCACTTCCCTAGCCATAGGCTTCCACTGTCATCAAAACAGGGCTCACCAGCTAGTTTCCAGATCTCTCTATAATTAGGCAATGCTAACCTGTCTATAATTCCTCAATACTGTAGTTAAATGTCTTAGTGTAGTGCCCAGCATATAGCACATGAATACATGCAGATATGTGTGTGAGTGTATATACATCAATCCCCTTTAATGTAGTTATTGCTCCAGAAAGCTCTGGCATAGGTTTGGGCCGTTGTGAAGCTGACGTGGGCTTCAAGGCTCTTTTTAAGTCAAGTTCCGAGTGTTTCTGGTAGCTTTGGGGCTGTCCTGAAGATGTCCAAGGAGAAAGTGTGAGCCAGCGGCAGCTAATCTGCAGAGCAGTTGGGTGAGCTCCTACGTAGCTGATGTGGAAATGTGTTAATTCACCTCCACCAAGGCCTGTCCTTTACAGCCATTCCAGACTCACCAAAGGAGGAGACTTAGGCACTTCTGCATTTGGCAATCAGCAGAGTGAATTTAAATATATGTATTTAAATTATATATTTAATTTATATATATTCAGATTATACCTGCAAGACATTGTCAGATATCAGGTTGAATCAGAACATTGCATGCAGTTACAGAGCTGGCAACAATAGCATATTTTTAAAATAGTGCTTTCATTTATAGAAGTAATTTGTGCTTATCATAAACATTAATAGTCAAAAGTTATTAAGTGGTTGGGTGCAGTGGCTCACACCCATAATCCCAGCACTTTGGGAGGCCGAAGTGGGAAGACTGCTTGGGCTCAGGAGTTCAAGAGCAGCCTGGGCAAGATAGTGAGACTTCATCTTTACTTAAAAAAAAAAAAGTTAACTGGGCATGGTGACATGCACCTGTGGTCTTAGCTACTTGGGAAGCTGAGGCAGGAGAATCACTTGAGCCCCTGAGGTCGAGGCTGCAGTGAGCCATGATCACGCTGCTACACTCCAGCCTGAGTGACAAAGCAAGACCCTGTCTCAAAAAAAAAAAAGTTATTAAGTAAGAATTTCTCCTGATCCTACTCTTCAGAATTGTCTACTTTTTAATGCTTTCTTGGGAATGCTTTCAAATACTTTGTATGCATATATATGCATATACTTCCTTTTTTTTGCACAAATGAAATAATGTCATATATAATTGCTTTTTTCCACTTATCCACATGCAGCATACATTTTCCCTGTTGGCATGTAGAGACAGCTCACATTATTATTATTATTATTATTTTTCGAGACGGAGTCTCGCTCTGTCACTCAGGCTGGAGTGCAGTGGCCTGATCTTGGCTCACTGCAAGCTCCACCTCCTGGGTTCACACCATTCTCCTGCCTCAGCCTCCTGAGTAGCTGGGACTACAGGTGCCTGCCACCATGCCCCACTATTTTTAAAATTTTTTTTAGTAGAGATGGGGTTTCACCATGTCAGCCAGGATGGTCTTGATCTCCTGACCTTGTGATTTGACCGCCTCGGCCTCCCAAAGTGCTGGGATTACAGGCATGAGCCACTGTCCCTGGCCATCTCACATTATTTTTAAGGGGGCATTGTTTTTGTTGTATTTTACTAAATGGATGTTTCAGCATTTATTTTAGGAGTCTCCTCTTTTCAGACTTTTTTTTTTCAGTTCTTTTGCTGTTACAGACAATACTTCAATCAATATTTTTATGCAAAATGTCATTTTACACTTTTGAAAATTTATCTGTAGGAGAATTTCCTGGAAATATAATTGCTAGTTCAAAAATATGCACATTTATAATTTTCATAGATATTAACAAGCTTCTCTCTAAAGACATTTTGCTAATTTATACCCTCACTTATAGCATTTGAGAGAATAGCAACATCCTTGGCTACAAGCTGGGGAGGATACATCTGTCTATCTTTACTCTCACATAGTAGAATGGAGTAGTGAAAAGAATACTAAGATAGGAGTCAAGAAATTCATGTAGAGCACATTTGGTGTGGTACGAAGAACAGAGAGTTGTGGAGACCTAAATACTTCAAATGTATGTATGTATGTATGTATGTATGTATTGAGACGGAGTCTGGTTCTGTCACCCAGGCCGGAGTGCAGTGGTGTGATCTTGGCTTATTGCAACCTCTGCCTCCTGGGTTCAGAGGTTCTGAACTTGAACCTCCTGGGTTCAAGTGATTCTCCTACCTCAGCCTCCTGAGTATCTGGGATTATAGGTGCCTGCCACTGTGCCTGGCTAATTTTTGTATTTTCAGTAGAGATAAGGTTTCGCCATGTTGGCCAGGCTGGACTGGAACTCCTGGTCTCAAGTGATCCACTTGCCTCGGCCTCCCAAAGTGCTGGAATTACAGGTATGAGCCACCACACCCAGTCCCAAGACTTCAATTTTAATTGTGACTCCACTATCCACTAATATGGTGAAGATGGGGCAGTTTATTTAATCACCCTGAGCTTCAGTTTTCTCAACTATACAAGTGGGGATAATGCTCCCCTACAGTGCTACAAAGGTTTAATGAGATAATGTATATAAAGGGCAGACTGTTAAGTGTTTGCCAATTCTCATTTCAGTTTACTCTTCCTAGCCTACATTTCCCAGCCTCCCTTGCAGTAAGGTGAGACCATGTGACTGGGCTCTGGCCAGTTGGATGTGGGCAGAGAATCCACAGGGTTGAACCCATTCCCAGGCTCCATTCCTTCATCTGGAGCAACAGGGACCATGTGTTGAGATGGTGGAGGGCAGAGGAACCCAGGCTGTGCCGTGTGTGGAGGAGCTCTTCTCTGCACTCTGCCTACATTTGGACTTGGATTATACTCGATCAAAAAATATTTATTTATTTATTTATTTATTTATTTTTTGAGACAGAGTCTTGCTCTGTCACCCAGGCTGGAGTGCAATGGCACTACCTCGGCTCACTGCAACCTCCACCTCCTGGGTTCAAGCGATTCTCCTGCCTCAGCCTCCCAAATAGCTGGGATTACAGGTGCCCATCACCACACCCTGCTAATTATTGTATTTTTAGTAGAGATGGGGTTTCACCATGTTGACCAGGCTGGTCTTGAACTCCTGACCTCAGGTGATCTGCTCACCTTGGCTGCCCAAAGTGCTGGGATTACAGGCGTGAGCCACTGTGCCTGACCCAAGAAGTAGACTCTTGTTGTGTTAAGCCATTGAGGTTCCAGAACTGGTGGTCAGTGCACTATAGCCAAGCCCACCTCACCAGTACAAGGGTTTCATCAGCATTGCAGGTGTTCTGCAAGCATATGTGCTCTTTCTAGGATCTAAACTGGATCTGTGGCTATGTAGTGACCTCGGGGAAGTTCCTTTCTGAAGGCCTCAGCTTCCTCATCAATTAAATGCGAATGCTGAGCTTGATGAACCAATCCAGCCATCCTTCCCAGCTCTCATACCTGATGGCTTAGAATCACTGGAGAGCAGGGTAGAGTCTAAGTCCTTGGTGCCTTGGGCATGGTGAGACAAAGTAGCAAGCGTAAGAAGCCATGTTTGCTAGTTTCTGCTTGCCAGCAGAATTTCTCAAAGCCCCTGGCTCTGTGACGAGGTTCAGTTCTCTGGAAAGATTCTTTAAAGACAAAACAGGATAGAGCACACAGTCCCCCACCCCTCTTGCCTGAATCACTACATTCCTTAAAAGATAAATGACCCTAGTCCTTGCCTTTTCCTCCACATAAGATAAGGAGTGACGAGGCTAGTGGTTACGCTTCTGTAATTTGTAACCAGATGTACTTTTACACCCAGACTTTGATGTGATTTTGCTTCAATGTAACTTCTGAGCAAATCTGATGCAATTTTGCATGTCCTGAACCCCCAGGACCTGTATATAAGCAGTGGGCCGAAATACTGTACCGGAGCAGTCTGATGGGCCAGTCTGACAGGCCTTGGTCTGTTGTTCTCAGCAATACCTCTCAATATAATAAAACTAATTCTTTAAAAGCTTGACTTTTTTGTTTCATGGACAGCATAAATACCTATAAACCTCACCAGCAAGGCAGCATGGTATGGGGTTATAACCACGGATGTCAGAGTCAGGCTCTGTAGTTTCATATCCTACCCACCCACCCCTTCCCTGATAGAAGCTGTGTGAACTTAGGCAAGTGACTCAACCTCTCGTTGCCTTATTTTTCCATTTTTTTTTCTTGAGAAGGAGTCTCGCTGTGTTGCTCAGGCTGGAGTGCAGTGGCGCTATCTTGGCTCACTGCAAGCTCCACCTCCTGGGTTCATGCTGTTCTCCTGCCTCAGCCTTCTGAGTATCTGGGACTACAGGTGCCCGCCACCACGCCCAGCTAGTATTTTTGTATTTTTAGTAGAGATGGGGTTTCACCATGTTAGCCAGGATGGTCTTGATCCTCTGACCTCATGATCTGCCTGCCTTGGTCTCCCAAAGTGCTGGGATTACACGCATGAGCCACCGAGCTTGGCCTCACTTTTCCATTTTTTTTTTTTGTAGTTTTCCTCAGATAGATCTTGCACATATTTTGTTAGATTTGTACCTAAGTGTTACATTTTGGAGGGTGCTAATTGCTGGGAAGTTTTTCACATGGCCTCAGACTGACCCAGTTCTTCCCCCTTTCTTGTTTGGAGTTCTCAATGCTGGGAGTTCTTATGCTGGGAGTACAACATGCCAAGATGAGGAGGAGCTGGTTGGAACAGTCAGGCTTCGTTCCTGTTCCCCCTAAGAGCAGGATGTCCTTCAGTGCCTTAGTCTAGCATGTTGTGTTCCCTTGGGGAGGATAAAACCCAAGGTAGGCTGCTTTCTGGGGTTCCTTGGCTGTGGTGCAAGTGGGGTCACGTGCAGTCGAGTCTTCATCTACCCTGGGCAGCTTTTCTGAGCTTTGGGGGACTGGCTTGTCATGAATCCTAGGCTTCTGTTGTCCCTTACTGCCTATCTGTGAGTAATAAACCTGTTTTGTGTAACTTGCATGCATGAGTGTTCTGTCTCACTGGACTTGGGCAAATAATCATTGCACAGTAAACTTGCTTCACAGTACTATAAACAGTATTATGTTTTTAATATCAAATTCCACTTGTTTATTGCTGAGTCATAGGAAAGCAATTGACTTTTGTATATTAATCTTGTATCTTGCAACCTTGCTATAGTTGGGTTTTAGTTTCAGATTTTTGTTGTTTCTGTTCTTTCAGATTTTCTACACAGACATCACGTCATCTGCAAGCAAAACCAGTTTTATTTCTTTCTTCTTATTCTTATACTTTTTATTTCCTTTTTTTTCTTGTTGCATTAACTAGGACTTCCAGTATGATATTGAAAAGGAGTGGTGACAGGAGATCCATTATTTTTAAAATGAAGACTATGATAGGCTCTACCTAATAAGACTCTTTTGAGGCTCAAGGAACTAGCACATGTAAAGTGCTTAGATGAGACCTGGAACTTAGTAAGTGTTAGGTAAATGTTTGTTAAATAAATAAATTACTTAGAACTCCCTGTGTCTAGATAATTCCTAGACTTGGTGACTTCACTATGTCCAACTGCAGGCAGGGTGCTCCAGTCAGGTAAGAGAGCTGGGGACAAGGGAGTTAGGTCTGATAAGCTATCCTGCCCAACTGGTTCCTTGCTAGACCTATGCGCCACAAGGAGGGGAAATGACCCAGACTCATTATGGAAACTCTCTTCGTTGTTTCCAATTAGAGGTGAGAATGGAAGCCAGAGCTCCTTTCTTCACTTAATTTTATTTTCTTTTCTTTTCATTTTTTCGAGATGGGGTCTTTCTCTGTTGCCCAGGCTGGAGTGCAGTGGCACAATTATAGCTCACTGCAGCCTCAAACTCCTGACGTCAAGCAATCTTCCCACCTTGGCTTCCTGGAATTTGTCTTTTGGCCACAATCAAGAGACTTGGAAAGTGGTTGAAGAGTCTTGCTCATTTAAGGAAAACTCTTTAGGAAGGACTTGTAGATGACATGGTAGAATCTTTAGAAGGCTGGAGTTCATCCTTAATTTGCATTGTCACTGGGCAACCATCAGCATTGCATTGACACTCGGCAAGTGTGTGCCACCTCTGCTGCTGGGGAATTGAGAGTGTAATAAATTAGAATTATTATGTGTAGAACCATATAGAATTCAGCAAAATACCTTTACATGAGTGCCATTCACAGTCCAGTACACTGAAGATGGCAGTGATTTCCTGTGGTTTTAGTAGGGGTCTGACCAGGAATTAATTGCTGCAGCATCTCCATAGAAAAAACATCATGACCTAGATCCTTGGCACTTCCAGTGCCTGCTGGCTGGATCCGACAGTCCATGATGAAGTTCCTTCCAGAGGCTGAAGTGGAGCCAACATTGAGAACAGAATTGAATTATCCTGGTCAAGGAGAGGACAAGATCAATGTTTGATATTCATGCTCTGATAGATGGGAGGGAAAGGCTGTTCTTCTGTGGCACCCAGCATGCAACATTCTGCCCTGGGAAAAGCTGTAACGTGGTGATCTTGCACTGTGTGTTGTTATTCTCTGCAGCAGAAACTAATGTCTGCCTAGAGGGAGGAGCAGGGCCACAGCTGAGTGTCTGAGGAGACTTGCTGCTCATTCAGCCAGTCTACCTTGGAAGTTCACCTGGTGGGCTGCAGAGCTCCTGTCCACATGCGCTTAGTGATTTGCATCCTCCCTCTCTCTCTCTCTCTTTCTCTCGCTCTCACTCTTTTAGAGACAGAGTCTTGCTCCATCACCCAGGCCGGAGTGTAGTGGTACAATCATAGCTCTCTGTCATCTTGAACTCCTGGATTCAAGTGATTCTACTGCCTCAGCCTTCTGAGTAGCTGACACTACAGGCATATGCCACCACGCCTGGCCGATTTTCTAGATTTTTTGTAGAGATGAGAGTCTTGCTATGTTGCCCAGGCTGGTTTCGAACTCCTGGCCTCACGCAATTCTCCTGCCTTGGCCTACATGTTCTCTTAAATTCAGGTTAACAGGCCAGCTGAGGGTCAGTGTACCTCCTATGCAGCATTGAGTCTGTGATTGATGCTCAGTGAAGGGGTGAAGGTTGGTTGTTTGAAATGATAAACCCTGGCTGTTCCTGGCAATGGTTCCAGTGAGAGCTGCTCAGGGTCCAGAGAGAAGAGGGGCAGATGCCCTGTAAGAAATCTGCACTGCTGCCAGGCCTGCACTGTGAGAGCCTCTCATGCCCCATCTCTTGGTGTAGGAAGCATCTCACTGGCTTCCTTCTTCAGCTCATCAAGGTGGAGGGCCTGGTGGGCACTTATGTCAACCACAGAATGCTGAGGAGGGCTGTCCACCTACCTTTTGAGTTATGGAATTCAGAGCCAGGCTCAAGACTTGGCGAAGGGTCTGAGCATATTGGCCACTGCAGGAGTGTGCCAGGAGGGGATGCTTAGGGTTGGGGGTTGAGGTGAGTGAAGACCTTGGGGAAATTCAGCCAAAGACGATAAGGAGGAGGGAAGGGGACACTTGGTTCAGACCATCTAAAGGGCTCTCTCCTGCTGCTGATGCAGAGGCCAGGGGACGCACCAGCGACTGCAGCTCGCCCAGCTGGCCCTCTGGTTGGTGCATGGCCGCCACTCACATGTCAGCAACAGTGACAGAAGTGTGGAAGGGGAGCTGTTCGCAAGTCATGGTTTACCCATAATTGCTGCAAAGTGGGAGAGCCCTGAGTGGCTCTCCATCCAGTCCCAGCCTGGCTTGGAAACAGGATTTGTGCTCCCCAGGGAGGCTGGGTGATAGAGCGTTAAGGAGCAACCGTTGCTCCATCTCTGGATTTGAGGTAATGTAGCAGAAAAGAAGCCAGACAGGCCCAAGCTGAAATCGCAATTCCAGCACTGAGCATTTGTGTTGTCTTGAAAGTTCTTCTCCAGCTATCAGAATCCTCATCTGTGGGAAAAAAAAGAGGCACTACTTCATTGCTTGGGTGACGGCTATGACAGAGCCTGTGTGCTCAGGACAGTGGGGAGTAAACGGGGCTCTTACGGTGGAGGAGAGCCCCTAAGCCGGCTGCCAGCATTTCTGTGTCTCCACTGAGCAAGGAGTTAAGCTTCTCAAGTAGTAAGCCTCTAAGAGACACATTTATAGAGGCAGAAGGTACTCAGATATACACGTGCCAAATGTGAGGGCATGCTTGAGTGTGAGCAGCGCTGTAAATTGAAAACAGCCTTGCAGCAAAGCATGACTAATTATAGGACTTGGGAACCTTACCAAAGCTCCTTCGTAGCATTCAGATGATTGTGTTAAAGAGAGCATTCTAGAATTTTCAGCTGAGTTTCAGAGGCTGAGTGCGACATGCCGTCACTTTGTCCTTATGGTTTGTACCCGCCCGGCCTGAGAGGTGCTGTATTTGCACATTTCAGCCCCCTGAGCACTGACGGGTGGTGAATATGGAGCAGTGGGGCCCAGGCTGCACTCTCTACTTCGTTTCTCCTTCACCCTGGGCAAAAAGCTAGCAGGCTTTCCTGTTTCCGAGCTGACTGTGTGATCTGAGCTGACTCTGTGAGCATTGTTTTGTTCCTTTGAGTGGCATAAGCTGGTGGGGGGCTGGCAGGGGAGTTGTACTGGTGACTGGGTAAGGGGCTCAGAGGGAGGGGAAAGGCAGAGAGAGTGGGAGAACTGCAGTGTTTGATCATGGAGCCCCTTCGTCACCCACCAGGCAGTGCCCCCCCTCCACCCACTCCTTCCTCTCCCAAAAGGCCCTGGCTGGGGCTTATCTCTGCACTGCTTCTCTGGAATGACGTTGCCTCGTTTTGTCCTCAAGTTAAATGAAAGGTACACATCCAGCACACATATCCCTGGTGGGTTTTCTGGTGTCCAGACCTAATGCCACACTAAACAGAAGTATATTTTTTGGTTATAAAAGTCCAGGAATTTTTTTCTTTACTCCTTTCCCACTTCTCTCAAGTGTAGGGAGCCCCCATATGTGCCAGAGAAGAGAAATGTCTCCAGTTCCCCAGGCCGCTGACTCAGTGAAGTTCTGGCTGGCACATTGCTTGGATGGAAAACAGTGTGTTCCACATACAACCTTTGTAAGAAGTGTGACCCCCACGCTGGTGGGGCCCCACTGTCCTGGAGAAACTTATGACGTTCACATGGGCAATTCTGAGTCTGTGTTCTTGGATAAGTGGTCCTCCGCTCTGCCCGAGGCCAGCACCAGGAAGCCACCTCGCCACAGTCTCCTGCAGGCACTCTCTGCTGTCCTGTTATGGACTGGAGGAACCCTCAGCACCCCTGAAGAGCATTTGTCTGGGACAGACACCACCCTGAAGCCAGTTGCTGTTTATTGAGCACCAACTTTGTGCTTGGGACTCAGGCAAGTGACCTCCTCTAGTCCTGGCAACCGCTTTGTCAGGGAGACCCTGTTAGGCTCATTTTACAGTGTGGAAGCTGGAGTTCACACAGGCATGCTAACTTGCTCCAGATCATGCAACTGGCCCTAAAACACGCTTCTCCTGCAATACTGTCCTGCACACAGGCCCCTGTCGGGGGCACAGGCCTGGGTGGGGCAGCAGGCCGCAGAGTTAATGCACAACGTGAAGTGGGAGTCGTTGGATCAGCAGCCCAGAAAATACTGGAAGAGCCACAGCTTAGACCTGTGTGCCTCCTTTTTTTGCTTTCTGCTTTTAAAATCTGTATCCTGAGGCTCACAGTTCTCACCCTAGAATCAATGCGACTGGGAAGTTTTTCTGCTCCAGGCTGTCCTTTCTCACGGACAAAATGGGGGTAATAAAAACAACAGCAGGAATCTCTGAAAGTTATGCAGCATTAATGTCCAGAAAATATTTACTGTTTTGGCAAGACTACTAATTGAGGGGCTTTTATATGCTGGTAAAAGTAAAATGCACAAAACCCCAAGATACCCACAAGCTGTGTGTATAATTCAGAACTGAGCTGTAGGAGAGAAAAACAGCAGCCAAATTCAACCAGGGATTAAGGGAGCCTCCCATTATGTGAGAAAACCTTGGACTCCACAGAATTCCATCCCTGTAAAGCATTGGTGAGTGAGTGACAAGCCCTTCAGCCAATGAGATTCCACATTGGAAGCAATGACATCATGGAGGTAAAGGCTTATTCGTTGTTGGCCTCTGAGACCCAACCCCAAGCTACTGGCATGTGTAAAAACTGCTTCTCATTGGCCTGGAGGAGACAGTGCACTCCAGAACAATGCTTTATCCGGCCTCTAGCAACCAACTGCTTCCAAAGACCCTTGTGTGCTTTCTGCTCTACCCAGATGGGGGTTGTGTGTATTCCACCCTGGGGCAGTTGACAACACCTGAGATGAACAATGCAGCTCATGCATTTTGCAGTTGGGTTTCCCCAAGAATCCTGCTCCACCTGTTGTGGTTTTTCTAGTGTCGCTGCAGGACATAGTCTGTTGGAGCAGGAGCTGAGAAAGACCAGGACCAGAAGCAGATTGCTCATTTGCTTAGTGATGGGAAGTTATGTATATATTCACCTCTCAAAGCAGCTGTGATCCAGGCTTTTGCAGTTTGAAGTCTCTTCTCCTCCTCAGGGAAATGGGCCTCCCCTGGGCATAACAGAGGTGCAAAGAGCACTGTAGATTCTACAGATAGCGGAAGTGGGGGGTGCATTTGTCCTCATGGGCAATTCCAATGAGAGAGGCTCTTCATTCCTGCTCCGAGACAGCATTTCCAGCTGGGAATGGAATCTTCTTTGGCTGAGAGGGTCTGGTTAGAACTACGAAAAAGGGAGATATGATGCATGGTTGGTTCATTTTGAGGTCATGTGGCAGTAAGACTTATGAGAGAAAGAAATTCAAGGCCACAGACGTTTTTTCCTCCATGTATTATGTGAGAAAAAGGCTGCTGGATTTGAAGTCAGAATTTGTGTCTAAAACAAGCTCCAAAGTTACCAGATGTATGACTGGGCAAGGCCCCAGGCCTCTTTGGGCCTTAGGTTTCTCAGATATAACAAACTGTTGATAAGAACACCCATCCTACATGGTTGACATGAGGATCAAGTACAGCCATTTGTATGAAAGTATTTTGTAAGATATAGCAGACTTTAGTAATGTTATTAGATCAAATCATATACGATTGCCTATTTTGGAGGTAAAACCAGTTGAACACGAGCAATTTCGTATAATTCAACCTACTAGTTATTATATAGTGCCTGATGCCTAGATGGGATTCTAGTGGATTCTGCGGTATGCCATGCAGCACCCTCCTTTAGGACTGAACATTGATTCCCACAGCTAATGGAACTCTGTGTAGCTGACAGCTCTGGCTCAAGGCTTTTAACTGAAGCTCTTTCTAGGAGTTGCCCTTAGTGGTCAAGAGCCTCACTTAAGGCCCTCTCTCCTTCCTGGGGGCAGCCCACATTCAATGGCTGGTCGACGGGGGATAAATATCACCTTGCCAATAAGTGGGAAGGGACACCTCTAAATGGCCATCTTAGTTCCAGGTCTTCTTGTGGGGACATTTGTGGCTTTTGTTGTGGCTGCATCAAAGCTGAACTCCTTCCTCTGCCCACCCTTGCTTCCTTCTCGTCCTCCGCTGGTGTTGATCCTCAGTCAGCTTTCTGCAGGCAAACCTCCATCCTGAGTGTCTGTTTCCTGGGAGCCTGACCTAAGAAAGAGATCACTGAATATTTTTTGAATGACAGGTGACAGACTTGGGCACCTGGATGCCTCATGTTATTTAATCAGCTACATGCCCAGCCCTAGACTTGATGCTGTGGACGTGGAATATAAGACACCGTCCCTGGGCTCAGTGACTTTACAACGTAATTTGGGAGCTAAGAAGCCTGACACTAATGGAATAGAATCATAAAGGCAGTTGTTTGCTTATAGCAAGTTTTATTCCTGAAAAAAAAGGGCACTCATAATTATTAATAGTATAACCACTCTTTATTTTAGTAGAAAAAAGGTTTAATATAAAGAATGATGCAATTACAAAATTGTTGGAAATGTTGGAGGAACAAAAGTCAAGAATAGCTGTTGGATTTGAGGAAATTAGAAAGTGCTAGAATTGTAGGATGCTACCTCTAGGAAGTCGGCTATCTGCTGAATTAAGGCAGGTAACTCACTGGAGCTCTCCTAGACACTACAAACCCTGTGTCTGCCATCTGATCACACACCTAACCACTGCTGTTAGAGAAGAATAATGCTTTATCCTTTGCTTTCATCTTCCAAATATCAGCTACCTGCCAGTGCCTCTCAATGGCAGAAGCTAGACTAGAACCTTCCTGTAAAGAAAGTAAAAGACATGCAATTGCTGAAGGCCAGGAGTTCAAGACCAGCCTGGGGAACATGGCAAGACCCGGTCTCTACTAAAAATAAGAAAAAAAAAAAAAAAAAAAAAAAAAAAAAGAAAAAGTATAAGACATGCAAGTTTCAGGGTACCAGCCCTCGTAATACAGAAAATATCAGAAGGGTAAGAATAGCAATAGACAGTAGAAGGCAAAATGCAGCAGCCTGGAAAAACTAATGCTTGAATCTGGAGGAGAGATAGGACTTGAGTATGTAAGGGAATTGATAATGTCTTTGCAAGTGGTGAGCGGAGCAATATGACTAGATCCTGCACACTCCAACCTGCCTAGAGGTTTCTGGCTCCAAAGTGCTCACTAAATGCATGACAAATGAATGTAGGAGGGAATGGGTGTGGTATATTCATGGAAGGAGACATCTGAACAGAAAGAGTGTATTAAAGATTAGGACATGATGCTGTCTCACATGGTGTTTTACAGTTTTCAAAGTAAGTTCACATGTGTTAGCTTTGACTCTTTTGAAGTGTTGGTAGGGTGGGGTAGATTATTGGGGTGCTTGAAAACAGGCATGAGCATTTAACTTTGAGGTATTGAAGACAATGACTGGGCCGGGCTCGGTGGCTCACTCCTGTAATCCCAGCACTTTGGGAGACTGAGACGGGTGGATCTTTTGAGGTCAGGAGTTCAAGACCAGCCTGGCCAACATGGTGAAACCCCATCTCTACTAAAAATACAAAAATTAACTGGGAGTGGTGGCGGGCACCTGTAATCCCAGCTACTCGGGAGACTGAGGCAGGAGAATTGCTTGAACCTGGGAAATGGAGGTTGCAGTGAGCTGAGATCGCGCCGCTGCACTCCAGCCTGGGTGATAGAGCAAGACTCTGTTTCAAAAAAAGAAAGAAAACAATGACTGACATTCACTTACTATATGCTTGGCTTTCCATACTTGACCTTGCTTTTCTTTACTGCTCCATACTTGAGTACAATCACGGCTGAAGTCGTTTTTATTGTTCATTTTCTACAGAAAAGGAAACTGAAGTTTAGAAATGTTAGGCGACTTGTGACAAAGCCAGAATCTGAACTCAGGGTGACAAACTCCAGGTCCCGGCAATTTAACTTCACTTTGAGTTGCTGCCCAGGGCAAGAGGGGGCCAGGAATTCCATTTCTCAGGAAGCACAAAATTACTTAGCAAAAGGGTTCTCTTGCCTGAGGCTCCGTGTAACAGAAACTCGTGCCCAGCAGTGAGTACTTGGGGGGCTTGACTGCCTTTTCCTCTCCTTGGTCTCAACTTCTGAAGCTATAAAAAGAAGGGATTGTACTGGAGCAGGGTCGGCCGGCTGTGGCTAGTGGGTCACCTCTGGCCCACTGCCTGTGGCTGTGGGTGCGGTTTGATCGGCACACTGCTGCCTGTGTGCTTACTTCCTGTTTATGTTGTTTTCGCTTTACAGTAGCAGAGTTGAATAGTTGTGACAGGGATCATATAGCCTGCAAAGCCTCCACATTTACTCTCTGACCCTTTACAGACACGTTTGCTGACTTGTGGCTGAGAGGGTCTAGCCAGGCTCTCCCAGGTTTGTACTCTGGGATTGTAACATCGGTGCATAAATTCCCAGGTTAACTGTCAAGCCCTTGCCAGCGGCCCGTTTACTTCAAGAAATATTTCTACCAAATCCCTTTGCAGAAGCTCCCTTGAGGTGTGTAAGACCCACAAAATTGCTGACCATCCTTGTTGTCCACAGCCCACTGCACCCAGGCAGGCCAGAGAAGGGAAGGGAGGATATCCTGTTTCCAGGAACTGAAACCTAACACCATGAACCTGTCCTCTATCACATGGAGAAAGTGGGCCCCCTGACGAACGCCCAGGAATCTTCCTACCATTGGCAGGTGCAGGGAACCTAGGACCTAATATCCTCGTGATCCTTGGGAGGCTGAGTCCCCAGGAGAGGATGCCAGGCCAAGGGGACCTGAGCTGGGATGGTCCTGGCTGGACCAGTCCTTGCTTGGCACTACTGCTATGTCCTCAGGTGAGGCAGCAATGGTGGCCTGAGGCTAAAAAGTGGACCGTCTGGTTTTGCAGGTACCTGTAGTCTTCCACGTTAGTTTCTGATAAACTCACCTGTGGCAGAAATTGCCCAGGTAATTCCAGTGTCTGCTTCCACCCCCAGGTCGGCACCTGGACAGCACCCCTTTTGTGTATGCATAAAGAACCTCTCTTTCCATTGATGACGCTTATTGCAGATTTAGTCCCAAGATAACTGGGGACTAAATTTAAGAAAGCTTGCATGCTTTTTTGAAGACTACGATAGTAAGAAATGGATCTTACAGTGTAAATCAATACATATATACCCAGTATTGATAGGCATATCCGTGCCTGTGTATGTGTGTCTGTGTGTGTGTGTGTGTGTGTGTGTGTGTACATGCCATTTGTATGTATATGTGCATGTAAAAGCAAAACAAAAGTTTCTGGAAAAAATACTTATCCTCAATGATGTATCGTTGTTCCTTGGTATCCATGGGGATTTGGTTCTAGGATCCCTTGAGGATACCAAAATCCATGGATGCTCAAGTCCCTGTTATAAAATGGTGTAGTAGAAGCATGTAACCTATGAGCATCCATCTGTATGCTTTGAATTGCCTCCAGATTACTTATGATACCTAATGTAATGTAAATGCTGTGGAAATCATTGTTATACTGTATTGTTTAGGGAATAATGACAAGAAAAAACATCTGTACATGTTCAGTATAGACACAGTTTATTCTCCCAATACTTTTGACCTCTATTTGGTTGAATCCACGGACGTGTGACCTGCAGATGTGGAGGACTGACTGTACTCACTTTGGTGTTTTCTATTCCATGTTATATTTTTGTTAATAAAATCCTAGTTTCAATCTACAAAAGTGATTTCTCAAGAAAATGTTATGACTTGCAGTTTGGAAACATTGCTTTAGATAATGTGTGGTATGTGGCAAGGGCTGTTTTCTTTCGTTATTTTCCAATAATGTTTAATGGCAGGGCACTTTGGGAACACTGGCTTGTATCACGAGGACTATCTTTCATGTCCATGCAGCTGTAAGTGTCCTTGGGCAAGTTGCTTCTCCCCAGGGACCCCAATTTCCTTATACATAAAATGGAGAGTTAGGATTAGGCCAAGCGTCCTTTGAGCTCTGAGAATCTGAAGTTCTATGCCGTACCTGTCCTTCGGGTGTCAGGAATACCTGTCACGTAGTTTTTAAGGTAACATTTGAGGTATCACCGATCTGAGGAGGCATGGGATATTTCTGGATGCTTTTCCATTGAGGCCCTGAATCCTGAACAAAAGGGGCTTGTTAGGAAGAACACAGGCCGTGGAGTTTATTGGCTCTACTGGTCTGTATTGCAATATCAGGAATATTCAGATCCACTTAATGACTCTTTCCCTTAATCGTCGTAATGACTGGTGACGCGTCCATGTGCTCTGCTCATGAGGAGCTGCAGGTGCTGAGAGCCCGAGCTCCTTGAGTGGAGCTGGCACGAGACTCCAGGCCTTCTGCCTCAAGCTCATGGGACCACACGGCTCCAGAAAGGGTGGGCAGTGATATCCCCAAATTGTAGAAATCAGAGATGGAGAACATGGCCTGTTTCAGGGTCCCTGCCAGCCCTCAGATGGTTTTTGTCTATTGTAGGAAACCTGTCAAGCACAATGCCTGCTGTGGGAGCCACCTTCTCCAACTGACACCGCCTGACCCCAGCTTCCAGCTCACTCCCCGCTCTGTGAAGGAAGCAGCTCCAGGTAGTATGTGTGTGTGTGCGTGTGTATGTGTGTTTGTATACAGGGGTGGCTATACCTGAACCAGAGGTGTGCCCCACTGCAGGCTGGACGGCCTAACAGGTTCTGCTCAAGAGATGACAGGCCGTCAGCTACACCAGCCGTCCAGCTCTCTGCATCCCTAAGCAGACCATGACAGACAGCAGGCATGGAGCTGCGAGGGCCATAAGAGTGAGGCCTGAGTCCAGTCTGCCCCAGCCACTGCTTGTATTCCAGGCCCGGGCTCCCTCAATCCTCACTGCAAACTCCTTCTCAGGGTGGCCTGAGTGTGGCTCAGCCCCCTCACATTTGCACCCATTACTCTGAATCATACAGGAAGTAAGGGAAAAGATGGAAGTTCCCAACTTCCCAACTTCAGCTTCTTCCTCTAAACCTAGGTCTCCACAGCCTCGGATTGTATCAGCAAAAAGGTTTGGGACATGCATCCCCAAAGGAGATGTATGATTTATTGTGTTTATACACAACCGTGTTAGTATATTTTCTATGATAAAATATACACAAAACAGAAATTAAAATGATGCAATAAACAATATTTTAAAATATAATTTATTTATGAAAGAGTCCAGAAATTGTTTCCTCTCAGTGAAGAAGTGTGTTTGGATAGCTTTTATTTTCTTCTAAAATCCTGACTCAACTCTGGGTAATGTGGTGATTCAAAGGCCTGGATTAAGTCTAGTTATTTGAATATTTGGGTTTAACGGTTGCCACCCTTAAAGAAGATACACTGGATCCAAGTAGAAGCCACACATGGTTGATGGGATGTACTAAGCCTTCACTAAGCCTCATTACTAATTTTTCTTTTTTCTTTTTCTTTTCTTTTTTAATTTGAGACAGTCTTGCTAGAGCACAGTGGCATCACAGCTCACTGCAGCCTTGACCTCCCAGGCTCACACAATTCTCCCACCTCAGCCTCCTGAATAGCTGGAACTACACGCCCATATCACTGTACCTGGCTAATTTTTGTATTTTCTTTGTAGAGACAGGGTCTTGCTATGTTGCCCTGGCTGATCTTGAACTCCTGGGCTCAAGCGATCCTCCTGCCTCAGCCTCTCAAAGTGCTGAGATTACAGGTATGAGCCACGGTGCCCAGCCTGTTTTGTCTTTTTCAAGTCAAGGTCTCCTTGGTCGCCCAGGCTGGAGTGCAGTAGCACAACATGGCTCACTGCAGCTTGGATCTCCTGGGCTCAAGGGGTCCTCCTGCTCAGCCTATGGAATAGTTGGGACTACAGGTGTGTGCCACCATGCTTGGCTAGTTTTTGTATTTTTTGTAGAGATGGGGTAACTATGTTGCCCAGGCTGGTCTCAAACTTCTGGTGACAAGCAATCCTCCCACCTCTGCCTCTCAGAGCACTGGAATTACAGATGTGAGCCACCTCACTCGGCCTCATTTTTCAGTTGTATCTACTAATGGTGCTAGGATCTTTGGTGAGACTCAGTAACTAAGTCTCTACCTTCTTTGCATTCATCAGTGAAGTTCTTACAAATTAATTGAATTGTCTTTATGTATACATTGTTTGGAAATTTTAAAAACAGGTTGGAAAGTTCTGTTTTTAAGGATTTTTTTGGTAGAAGCTTTTCGAGATATAGTTCACAAATGATACAATTCACCCATTTAAAATGTACAATTCAGTGGCTTTTAGTATATTTACTGAGTTTTGTGACCATCACTATAATCAGTTTTAAAACATTTCATCACCCCAGAAAGAAACCCTCACCCTTAGCATTTACGTCTCACATTCCCCCTGTCCCCAGCTCCCCTAAACAACCACTAATGCACTTTCTGTCTCTATGGACTTACCTATTCCAGATATTTCATATAAATGGAATAACATGTGGTCTTTTGTGACTGGCTTCTTTCATTAGCATAATGTTTTCAAGGTTCATCTGTGTTGTATCATATGTGAGTACTCTCTTCATCTGTAGGGCCAATTCATATTTCATTGTATGGATATACTATGTTTTATTTATCCATTATCAGCTGATGGGCATTTGGAGTGTTTCCACTTTGGGCCATTATGAATAATGCTGCTATAAACCTTCATGTGCAATCTTTTACATGGTTGTATGTTTTCATTTCTTTGTACATATACCTATGAGTGGAATTGCTGGGTTGTATGGAAACTCTATGTTTATTCTTTTGAGGAACCACCAGACTTTTTCAAAGTGGCTGTATCATTTTACTTTCCTGCTAGCAATGTATGAGCCTCCCAGTTTTTTCACTTCTTCAATACTTGTTTTTTTTTATTATAGTCATCCTAGTAGGTGTGTGTTATATCATCGTGGTTTTGATTTGCATTTCCTAATGAATAATGATGTTGAACATGTTTTCATGACCTTATTGGTCATTTATATATTCTGTGGAAAAATATCTATTTAAATCCTTTGCCCATATTTAATTGGATTGTTCATCTTTTTAATTATTGGGTTGTAAGAGTTCTTAGTATTTTCTAGATACAAGTCCCTTATCAAATAAATGATTTACAGATATTTTTCCCATTCTTTGGGTTGTCTTTTTATTTTCCTGGTGCTACTAAGTTTTTAAAGCCTGTAGAAATGAGGGTTATTGTTGGTGTCACACTTAACGGTTTTTAGGAATGAAGTTATATAATGATGGAAACATTTTTAAACACATGTTTTAAAAATGCCTTCTCCAGTACACACCTTTCTTTCTAAAAGGCTTATTCTCTCACTCCTGTTAAAACTTTACCTTTACCTTGAAGACTGTGAATGTTGTAAAAATTTATTGAGATGTCTTAATAATATCCGCTGGGAAGCAGATTGTTGAATGCCACGTGTCATCATGAAACGTTATCAGCCAACTTGGAACATCTTGTACAATAGAAATGATTGGTTTTGATGAGGTTTTTAAGTATTTGGCCACGAGGCAACCCTTGTGCTATAAAAATTTCATGACTATCTGGAATGAAAGTTTAGAGATTATTTATTTATTTATTTATTTATTTATTTATTTTTTGAGACGGAGTCTCGCTCTGTCTCCCAGGCTGGAGTGCAGTGGCGCCTTCTCGGCTCACTGCAAGCTCGGCCTCCCGGGTTCATGCCATTCTCCTGCCTCAGCCTCCCGAGTAGCTGGGACCACAGGCGCCTGCCACCACGCCCAGCTAATGTTTTGTATTTTTTTTTTTTAGTAGAGACGGGGTTTCACCGCGTTAGCCAGATGGTCTCCATCTCCTGATCTCGTGATCCGCCCGCCTCGGCCTCCCAAAGTGTTGGGATTACAGGCATGAGTCCCAGTGCCCGGCCGAGATCTTTTTTTTTTTTTTTTTTTTTTTTTTAAATAAAACTAACCACATTGGTGACATTCGGCAGCACTTGTTGCATTGTGGTCAACTTGTATGCCACAGTAACTTTTCTGCAAATGAATTTCAAGGGAGGAGTTTATTTGTAAACCTAATCCCATAATTTCTTGTACTTAAAGAAGAAAGTTCGAGTGAAAGCAGCAACTCCCTCTGTGGCTGCACCTTGCAGTCTTCTTGTGAGGCACTATTTTTATTCAAATTGTTATTTAATGTTGAGTGCATCTTCTCCGGGGCATCTTTTAGTGGTTCACAAAAAAGGAGATTTTAAGATATATTTCTGCCGGGCGCGGTGGCTCCCGCCTGTAATCCCAGCACTTTGGGAGGCCAAGGCGGGCAGATCACGAGGTCAGGGGATCGAGACCATCCTGGCTAAAATGGTGAAACCCCGTCTCTACTAAAGCTACAAAAAATTAGCTGGGCGTGGTGGCGGACGCCTGTAGTCCCAGCTACTTGGGAGGCTGAGGCAGGAGAATGGCGTGAACCCGGGAGGCAGAGCTTGCAGTGAGCCGAGATTGCGCCACTGCACTCCAGCCTGAGGAACAAAGCGAGACTCCGTCTCAAAAAAAAAAAAAAAAGATATATTTCACCATCGGCCGGGCGCAGTGGCTCATGCCTGTAATCCCAGCACTTTGGGAGGCCGAAGCGGGTGGATCACTTGAGGTCAGGAGTTCAAGACCAGCCTGGCCAACATGGTGAAACCCCATCTCTACTAAAAATGCAGAACGAAAAAGCTATATTTCACCATCCATACAGAACCTAACAAATGCTATAAGCCTAGACCTGTTGGGGACATCCTTACTTTCCTCTTGTATAATAAACCTCTCTGGCTACACAACGTATTCTAATGCTTGCTTCTTCAAATGCTCACCAACATTTGAACATGTGTCTTTCAATAGTAGCTATTAACAAAGGATTACATTTTAGTCTGTTGCTAAGTTGTTTTTCGTATTTTATTTCAGCCATTTTTTTTTTCTCTAGCAAGGAAATCTAATTCCCTAGTAGGGAAAAAATTGTGCATTTCCCAAATGTTAAGTGATGTTTTTAGTCTACTGTTATGAAGTGAGAAGATGTGAAAGAAGTTTTTAAATTTGTTGTTAAGTGCAGTGAGCTTTCAAAGTGGTGGATTAATTAAACATTTCCTCACTTTAACCATTGCTGAAGAACCTGTAAAGGTCTGTCCTTTTATGCATGTTCTCGTTTAGCCTGTCAATGTCTGGATGGTTTATGCTATCATTAGCCACTGTCACGGCACAACACACACATAAGAGAGATTGATAGTGGCTATAAATCCAGTCTTTACATCTTCTTGATGGTTTCAGTGTTTGTGGCTGAATGTTCGCCTGGTCTGATTCGATTGCCATTGTTTTATCTGTTATCATGGCTGTTGAAGAGCTTGTGTCAGGAGTAGGGAAAAGGCCACCATTGCTCCTTTCTGCTGGATCAGCTGGCTTTCTTGGTTAACTTTATTTTCCCTCTGCAGTTTCTTTGCAGGAATCTTTTATGCCTGTTTTGTAAGCATGAATCTGGTTAAAACTAGACAGTCTAAATGGACACAGGTAACTGCCTCACACAGCAGCAGTGGAAGGAGTGAAGGAGTGAAAAAATGAGAGCCACAGGCCACCACCATCCAGACCCCCAGGATAGCTGTGCATGGCGCCCAACCTGGGGGCCATGCACAGCTGATGTGTAGAGAAAGGAAGAGCAGCAGCAGTCACACAGGAAACAGCTAGAACTTAATTTCTTCACTAGGTAGGATTGAATTTCTAAGATCTCTTTCCATCTCCAGTAGATTGTCATGACTAGTTCTGAGGGACTTGTTTGGAGACCAATTCCTCTAAAAATTAGACCAAAGTACCTGTTTAGGACAAAGATAGAAAACATGTCTGATTTATGTATATATATTATATATATATTAAAGGCATATGGGTGTAGCCCTGTATGACAGATGCATTATTTAATAGTTTAATTGGAAACTTACTTTTTAAAAAACAAAATAGTCTAAAGAGATAAGGAAACATTGTGGTTTAAAGAGACGCTATGATAGATGACACCATTGTGTAAAAAAAAAAAAAAAGATCATTTCCTAATCATTGTGTTTCATAATTGTGGACACTTTTTTTGACTCAGACATGACATGGAGGGCTGAGTTAATCATACTTCTTGGCTCAGGGCACATTAATCATCATTGTTCTGCACAAGATTCCACCCTGGTTTCTAATTTTAATTTATTCATTCCTTTTTAGAGGTGTTTCCACTCTCATTTTCTTTCCTTCATGGGCAACCATTCCTCATGTTGGATCTATGTCTGTATCCATCTTTTCATTTGTAAACAAACATTTAGTTTAAAAACAATATAGTTTATGCATAAACTTTACATCAGTACAAATATTGATATAGTTTATAGGCCAGGATCGGTGGCTCACACCTGTAATCTCAGTACTTGGAGAAGCTGAGGAGGGAGGATCGCTTGAAGCCAGGAGTTTGAGACCAGCCTGGGCAACACAGCAAGATACTATCTCTAAAAAAATCTTTTAAAAATTAGCCAGGCATGGTGGCATGTGGCTGTAGTTCCAAGTACTTGGGGAGGTTGAGGTGGGAGGATCACTTTAGCCCAGGAAGTCAAGGCTGCAGTGAACCATGATTGTACTTTAGCCTGGGAGACGGAGCAAGACCCTAGCTCAAAAAAAAAAAAAAAGACAATAAATATATTTTATAAAACACATACTGTGATTTTGTGTGTGTGCTTTTCAATTTACATAAATAGTAATGTGCTATAGATGTAATTCTGTTTCCTTTTTTACTCAGCACAATGTTTCTCTGTCTGTGTTTTTGTGTGTACACCCAGTGTGTGGTTTCACACCACTGCATAGGATTCCACAGTGAGTACCCACCACATGGTATACGTTGCTTCACCTAGAAACAGGTATCTAGGTCCCCCTCAACTCCCCAGTACCAGGACCAAACTGGGATGAGAACATTCACACATTCATTCCCCTCTAGGACATCTGTGAGAACTTCCCTGGAAGATTTACATATATATCCAGCTCCTGAATACCTGCATACATAAATATACATATGAATGAGCTGGATTGCTGAGTCATGAAGTATGAGTATACCCAGATGGAATAACAACCACCAAGTTGCTCCCCAGAGTGGCTGCACCCGTCCACTCCATCCCTGCCCCAGCAATGCAATTAGCCTCCTGGAGCCTCATGCCCAGCTTTTGACTTGTTGCCAATCTCGTAGGTGTAATGTGATGTTTTGTTGTTTTATTTTTATTTTTCTGATAATAATGAGTTTAAATTTCTCTTCTGAAGGCTTGTCAGCAGTCCTTTGTATCTCCTCTCCTGTAAATTGCCTGTTCATACACTTGGCACCCTTTTTTTTCTATTGGGCTTCTCTGTTTTACGCTGTTGATTTACAGAAGTTCTTTGTACATTCTAAATTTGTGTCCTTCTTTGTTTTGGATATAGCACATATCTTGTCCCAATCTGTCACCACTCTGTGGCATGGCCCTGTAGGTCAGTGGTTCAGAACTTGGCTCTAAAGACCTGAGTTTGAATTCTGGCTGTGCCTGTTACCTATGGGACCCTAGGCAGATTAACCTCTGTGCATCTCAGCACCTTATGGTACCCACCTCATGGGGTTGCTAAGAATATTGAATCGGTTGATATTTTAAAGCACCCAGGAACACATAGTAAAGCTTGATGCATAGTATATATGAATGTTTGTTAAATAAGTACAAAATATTAACTCTGTCCTGGGGTTCTTGGTTGAAAAGAACTGCTAAATTCCAATGTTATTAATCAGTATTTAATTTCTGTTTCATTCTGTTTTGGGGATTCTTTTTAAGTTGTTCCTCTTCACTCCTAAGTCACAAAGTTATTCTCTTACATCATCTTCTATTAAACTTGTAATCCAGCCTTCCACATTTGGGTGGGATCCCATCTGGATTCCACTGTTATACATGGCTTTAGACATCTGCTTTTATTTTTTGCCACGTAGCAAGTGAGTTTTCCCAACCCCATCCTAGATAGTCTGTTCTTCCCTCAGTGATTGTGGAGCTGCTTTTATCATAGCCCCAATCACACCTGGGCCTGTGTCTGAGCTCAGTACTGTGGCTGTTGCTGCAGAGCCATTGTCATGCTATTAATTAGTGTGGTTTTAGGGAAAGTGGTAATATCTAGTAGGTCAAGCCTCTCTCTGCTCTTCTTTTTCAAAATAGATAGCTATATATGGACATTATTCTTCCATATACATTTTAGAGTGAGCTTATCAAATTCCTCAAGAAGTTTGGCATTAATTTTGATTGGTGCAGCATTAAATTTATACATCAGTTTGAGGAAGAATAGATATCTTTATACTATTACACTAACCCAGCTGAGAGTGTGAAATGTTCCTCTATTCAGATCTTTAAAACAATGTCCTTTAAAAGAGTTTAAATTTGTTCTCCATACAGGCCTTAAGTTTTCTTTGTTTTTGTTTTTTTGAGATGGAGTTTCGCTCTGTCACCCAGGCTGCAATGCAGTGGCGCAATCTCAGCTCACTGCAACCTCTGCCTCCCAGGTTCAAGCGATTCTCCTGCCTCAGCCTCCTGAGTAGCTGGGACTACAGGCATACATCACCATGCCTGGCTAATTTTGTACTTTTAGTAGAGATGGGGTTTCACCATGTTGGCCAGGATAGTTTTGAAATCCTGGCCACAAATGATCTGCCCACCTCAGCCTCCCAAAGTGCTGGGATTACAGGCATGAGCCACCACACCCCGCCTAGGTCTTAAGTATTCCATAATTAAATTCCTGGATACAAGATAATTTTTGTCACTATTGTGAGTCACCATCTTATTATCATTCTCTTATTGACTTTTGATGGTAAAGGGAAATGCTACAAATGATTTTTTTTAAGTTTTTCTGGTCTTCAATGATCTTTATAAACTCCATTTGTTTTTTTATTATAGATGATCCTACAGTCTGCAAATTATGATATTTTTATCTTTTCCCCTCCCACTCTTCTGCTCTTTCCTTTTTATTTCTTGCACTGTTGGCTGAGCCCTTCAGGACTATGTTAAAGGGCAGTCCTGGACGGAAGAGCATGGTCTTGCTTTCACAATTAAAGGGAGTGAGGGTCAAGCTTCTCCCTTAGCAGAGTATTTGCTGTAAGTTTTCTGATGTATAACCTTTTCTAAGTTAAGGCATTCCCTTTCTATCTTTGGTTTCTTCAATTTGTTAAGAGATTTCCCCCACCTTAATACATAGTTATTAAACTTTACCGAGTGTCTCTTCTGTAGAAATTGAGATAATCATAGAATTGTTCTCCCTTATTCTAGCAATGTTAACTACATTGACAAATGTTTTCCATGGAACCATTCTTGCCTTCCTGAGCTGAATACTAATTGGTTGTAATTTTTCTTAATACGCTATTAGAGTCAGTAAGATTATGTAGCATATTATTTATTCTTTGAAATTTTGGTAGAGATTACCTAGGTAACCATCTGGGCCTGGCACCCCAGGTTTTGCTTGGCAGTGTTTTCATTGTTATTTATTTTATAATTTTCCTATTAGTTTATTTTAATGTAAATATATTTGTTAGCATGTTAATTGGTTTCCAGACATAGTTGACCCTTAAACAACAAAGATTTGAATTGCACGGGTCCACTTCTACTGGAGGTTTCTTCTGCCTCTGCCACCCCTGAGACAGCAAGACCAACTCTTCCTCTTCCTCCTCCTCCCCAGCTACTCAATGTGAAGACGATGAGGATGAAGACTTTGATGATGATCTGCTTCCACTTAATCAATAGAAAATGTATTTTCTCTTTCTTAGAATTTTCTTAATAATATTTGCTTTGCTCTAGCTTTCTTTATTGTAAGAATAATGTATATAATACATATAACATACACAGTATGTGTTAATCAACTATTTGTGTTATCGGTGATGTTCCTGTCAACTGTAGGCTATTAGTAAAGCTTTTGGAGGGAGTCAAAAGTTGTATGTGAATTTTTGACTGAGCGGGGGGTCAATGTTCCTAACTCCCATGTTATTTAAGGGTTAGTTGGATATGGTATTTCAAAAAGATACTTTTTTGATATTGATTTCTAATTTTATTGTTATGTGGTCAGAGAATACATGGGAGATATATATATATATAATATTGATTCTTTAGAATTGATCATTGAGGTACATAGTCAGTTTTTAGAAACATCCTATGTATGCCTGAAAAGAATGTGTATCTTCTCTTTGTTAGACATTGAGTCCTGTATATAACTCATAGTTCAAGCATACTCTATATCTTTGTTTATAATTTTTATCTGCTCAAGCCATTAGTGTTTGAGAAAGGTGTGCTAAGTCTTCACCCACAACTGTTGATTTACCCTTGCTTCATGTATTTTGAGGATATATGGTTTTGAATTTAGGTGATTATATCTTTTGGCTGTATGATTCTTTTTGCCAGTAACCTATGATTCTTTTTAACTTGAATTCTATTTTGTTAAAGGTTGAGATTGTTATCCCAGTTTTCCAGTTTGGGCTCATCTTTTCCCACCTTTTATTTTCATCCCCTTAAAGACTTTTTGGAAATGGAATGGTGGTTATCAGAGGCTGGGAAGAGAAGGGGGCTGTAGGGATGAAGAGAAGTAGGTTAAGGGGTACAAAAATACAGTCGGATAGAAGAAATAAGTTCTCGTATTCAATAGTACAGCAGAGAAGTTATACTTAACAGTAGTTTATTGTAAGCCAAGCATGGTGGCTCATGCCTGTAATCCCAGCACTTGGGGACGCTGAGGTGGGTGAATTACTTGAAGCAAGGAATTCAAGACCAGCCTGGGCAACATGGGGAAAACTTGTCTCCAGAAAAACTAGCTGGGTGTGGTGGCACATGCCTATAGTCCTAGCTACTTGAGAGACTGGAGTGGGAGGATCGCTTGAGCCCAGGAGGTTGAGGATGCAGTGAACCCTGATTGTACCACTGCACTCTAGCGTGGGTGACAGAGTGATACCTTGTTTCAAAAAACAAAAATGAAAACAAAAAACAAAAACAAAATAAAACAATATAACTTATTGTATATTTCAAAAGAAAAACTAGAAGAAAAAAATATAATGTTCCCAACACAAAGAAATGTTTGAGGTGAGGGGTATTCCAATTACTCTGATTTGATCATTACACATTGTATACAGGTATCAAAATATCACATACACCCCATAAATATGTACAACTGTGATACGTCAATAAAAAATACAAAAACCTTTTTGCTGATTGGTTCCCAGTTATTGTGTTTTACAGGTTAGGGTATCTGTGTAGTGACTCTCTTTAAGTGGAGCGTTCTTTCACAGTATCCATGAAGTGGCAGAATTCAGTTACGTGGGTAGGCACAGGCTTTCTGTGAGCTGCCCTCCCTGATCTTGCTCTTTCCCTGCACCTTCATAGCTCCTAGCTGCATAAGAGGCCTGGTGATGTGGCTTTCAAGAGTCAAACAGAAACCCAAAGTGAAAGTCGAGTTTTTCTGCTGCTGGCCTCCCTAACTGAGGTCTGCTTTACTCCCATACAGGCCCTAGTAGATGTTTGCCCACAGCAGGAACCCAGCTCTAAATGAAGGGATGGGGCAGGAGGCAGGTAGGGAGGTTTAGTGAAGGATGAGCCTGGATGATGCTGTTGAAAGGCTTCATCATGATTCAAACATTGTACTGTTCTGTGTCTTTCTCATTCCGCCCTGCTTCTGAGAGTTGGTCTGAAGGTTGTGCTTCCTCAGCTCTGAGGTTTTTGGATTAGTGTCTGTCAGTTACAAAATGGAGATAATAAAGCAGGGAGGCCGGGCGTGGTGGCTCATGCCTGTAACCCCAGCACTTTGGGAGGCCGAGGCGGGTAAGTTACTTGCGGTCAGGGGCTGACATTTGCTTGAAGCCTCCAGCTCATGACTGAGCCAGGACTACCCTTGCCAAGCCATTCCTGACTTCCTGATCCACAGAAACTTTGAGAGATACAAGTCACTGATTATTGTTTTAAGCCACTAAGTTATGGGATTATTCAATGCACAATGATAGATACACTGACTTTTTACATGAGCTTCAAAACTGTCATTCCAACTCTACTCTCCTCTCTAAATCATACTGAAGGCTGACTGATGAAATCTTCCTAAGATACAAATTTAATCCAGCTGTTCTTATATTCAAGAACACTTGTAACCTAGCAATCAGTGGCTTGACGCCCAATGCGCATAGAGGCCAATACCATTGTGCCAGCTTTTGAGAAAAGAAAAAGCTTTATTGCGACTCAACTGGCAAAGAGACAGTAGGAAATGCTCAAGTCTGTCTCCCCAAGCTGGGGTTTGGTTTGTGTTTTATAAGCGCAGGGTAATGAGGTGTGGTCTAAATGGATCTTGCAATGAGGTGATGCCGGGAGGCATGGTTTGACTGCTTCCTGCCATGGGATGATGCCGGAGCTCCATCTGATTGGATCCCGGATCCTACCATCCAGTGTCTGCTTCTTAACTCAGTCCCTGCTCCTCCGTCCCAGCACGTAGGTCCCCACTGTGGTTGCACACTTAGATCTCCTGGGCAGGCTCAGGTCATGTGACCTTCAACCTGGGAGTCCATGATGACTGAAAAACAAGTCATAACTTTGTTACATAAAAGTTGAGCTGGGTGGGGTGTGGTGGCTCACGCCTGTAATCCCAGCACTTTGGGAGGCTGAGATGGGTGGATCACCTGAGGTCAGGAGTTTGAGACCAGCCTGGCCAACATGATGAAACCCCATCTCTACTAAAAATACAAAAATTAGCTAGGCGTGGTGGCGCATGCCTGTAATCCCAGCTACTCGGGAGGCGAGGCAGGGGAATCGCTTGAACCTAGGAGGTGGAGGTTGCAGTGAGCCGAGATTGCGCCATTGCACTCCATCCTGGCGACAGAGCAAAAATCTGTCTCAAAAAAAAAAAAAAAAAAGTTGAGCCAGATTGGTCCGGTGCAGTTGCACTGACTATATTTTGCCAATTAAGTCTGGTCCAGATTCATTAGTTTGAGGTTCAGTGCCCTCCGTGAGCTACCCCTGCTGCATCCCATGTGTCCAACCACATGTATCCCATGTTAACTCTCTTCCGTCAGTTGGGTGGACTCCTGAGGGGTCCCCCAACGCCTACTCACAATTCCTGGACATGCATTTTCCAGTACAAATTCCACTCCGTGTCTCTCAGCTTGTGCTGATGCTTCCCTCGCTGCAATTCCTTTGGGGTTTATGGTCTTTGTCACTCATGTTGGAAGTAATTAGGTCCTGTTATGTTCTGGATCTTTCTTCTGCTGCCTATGTCTCTGCCTTGATCCTCCACTGTGGCGTATGTGCCTTGAGGTTGGGTAGCAAAGGTCTGGTTTTGCTACATGTCTTTGTTGACTTTTTGCTAGAACGTGCTGTGTCTTCTCTTCTCCCCACCTCAGTTTTCTCAGCTGTAGGTGAAGAAATTGGACTACGTGGGGTCTCAGGCATCTTCTGGAGCTAGCAGCTCATGAGCCCGCTGACAAACTGAACCCATGCAGAAATGTAATAACTGTCCGTCTCCCTGCCTCTAGCTTTTCTCCCTTTGAATCTAGCCCCTCCCACCCCCACTGCCAAACTTGTTTTTCCTATGACACAGATTTGATTGTGTTAATCTTTTTAAATATTTAAATATTTCTTCCAGCAGTGTTCTGTAATTTTCTTTTTTTTTAACTTTTATTTGTTAAATAGGTAACATAGGTAAAGACATGTCACATAGGTAGAGATGTGTCACAGGGGTTTGTTGTCCATATTATTTCATCACCCAGGTATCAAGCCCAGTACCCAACAGTTATCTTGTCTTCTCCTCTCCTTCCTCCCACCTTCCACCCTCCACCCTGTAGACCCCAGTGACTTTTGTTTCCTTCTTTGTGTTCATAAGTTCTCATCACTTAGCTCCCAGGGTTAATCTTCTTAGAAGTGTCCACTGAATTTCCATTACCTACAGAATAAAGTCACAGCTTCTTAAGAGTCAATGAGAAGGTTCATTGTTGACGAAGGGCCTGTTCTGTGCCAAGGGCTGGGAGACTCAGTGAGCCAGTCAAAGCCGCCTCCAGGCTGCAGACAGGAAGGCACCGGGCTCTAGCAGCGGGTCCCCAGTTTTGCTTGTGAGCTGCATTCCACTGGCCACTCTGCCTTTCATAGAGGTGAGGTATTAATAGTAGTTGAGGAAGACTTTATGAGGGAGATTGGATTGGTGCTGAGCTTTGAAAGATGAATGAAATCATTTGGGGGATTCATCCACAAAAAACACAGAGACTGGCCAACACTGATTTGCAGGGTAAGTTTACGGCATTCTAATGAGACTAGCCTTGTTGGACCAGTAGATTCTAGTGCTGAGTAGTGTGAGGCTAGAAAGGCGTGTTCTCTTGTTCTCATGTAAGCTCTGGGGGTGAGCCTCTGCTATGTGTGTCCAAACGTACTGGGGCATCTCTGCGTGTGGGTGTTCATGTGTGTGGCCTAGAGGACATGTGAGTAAATGTGAATGTATGTGAGGGTGACAGAGTGTGTATGAGTGTGAGTAATGTGTGTGCAGATGTGAGTGGGTGTGTCACTTGGAGAGAGCGCTGAGGTGTAGACTTGCTGCTTTTCTTGTTTTTTATCTAGATGATATTAAAACTCAGAATGAACTTTGGCATCCTTTGTACTCACAGTTTATCAGCTGTTAATTTTCCCTGCCCAAGCATAGTAGAGTAGCCATAGTGTTCCAACATTTTTAGTGTTCACTTATGGCATATTTTGGAAATTTGAAATTAAGCAAAAATCTCAAAGAGCGGAGAAAACAAGTAAGTACCCTTTGGGGAGATCCAAACAGGGGACCAGGCCTCTTTGGAGCTGTGAATAGGTTCCCTGCCTCACATCCCGATACGGTGTCCAGAGTGAGGACGTGGTGATTAAGGGAAGTACAAACTGGCAGGGCAGTGTCTGAGCTGAAATGGAGTCAGGCTGATCAGGACTCTTTCCGCGTTTCGGCTGGGGTGGCCTTGGAGAACCTGGTAAGCACTGCCTCATTGCCGGGTCCATTTCACAGGCTTCAGTTTCAGTGTCCAGCTGGAAAAGGGGAGAGGGGCTCTCCCTGATCTTACCAGATCCCTGGTAAGTCACTAAAATCTTCGCGTTTCCCCCAAACTCTGAAGTGGTCCTTCATTCACAAAGGGGGATCACCTGAAACTGTCCCATGGGAAAGTCCATAGTTTGTTGTTTTAAAGAATGTATGAGAAAAGTGCTAGAAACGGCTACTTGAATTTTAACACCCACAAAGGCCTGTGTTTCAGCTTTCTTCCAATGGCCAAACCATATGGTACCCTGGACCTTATACTAAAGCAAGGCTAAAAGCTATTTTAAGTGCTTGCTGTTTAAAGTCTCTTATTTTGGGAGAAAAGGGAAAAGAGGCAAAGTGTGGAGGTGAGGGAGAGGTCACCTCTTCACAAATATTTCCATTTTTCTTGAATCTTACTAGCTAAGATAATCACAGTGCAGTGCCATTGGCGGCAGGAACTTTCCATGCAAGGAAACATCAAACTCTCCCTTGGATGGGCCCCACCCAGGTGACTTAGCCCGGACCATATTTATGCTTTTTATTTCATGCTTGGCATATAGATGGAGAATTGGTCTTTTTTTTCTATACTGGACATGTAAACACTGGAGAAAATGGCATTTGTTGCCTTTTGATGTGCCAAAGAAAAGTGGGAATGTTCAAGAAATTCTCTTTGGCTTAGTCTTGGTTAAACTGACAATATGCATAACTTACCAGCTGAAAGTGTGCAGGTAGTCGTGAAATTGTTTGGTTTTCTGACACGTGTGCCTTCAGCATGCATATCATTACCACCCGGCAGTTGGAAACTTATCTTTTTCTAACCAACTATTAACTAAGGTCAGGAGAAGAATGAATTTATATCTTTTACTAATGACATAAGGGCCCATTTCATATCCTTGTTAGCCAAGCAGACTAAGTGGATCAAACTGTGGAGAATCCATACATTTTGTAGAAATACTTAAAAAATTCCTTTACAGAGAGTGTGACTGTCTCTAAAAGCTTATTTTTAATGGTGACAAACATTGTTATCAGAATTTGCTCCTGTTTACTATAATTCGGGGGTCAAAAACTGAAATACCTTCAGAGGCCCAGGAAGGGCTGGCTGTAATAGGGAAACACACGGTGTCTGAAGGGGACAAACAGTGAGTTATTTGCTCTGGCTGATTTATAGACAGTGTCACCTGATTTTCCAGTTTATCAAGACTCTGGAGATTTTATGAAATTTGAATTTTAAATTTTGAGAATTAAATATTTTAAGTAAAAGTCAGTGGCTCCAATAATATATGATGGGCTGAGTACTAAACAACTGGTTTGCATCCTCACATTTGTAGGGTTTTTATTTTTTATTTGTAGAGACAGGGTCTCATTATGTTGCCCAGGCTGGTCTCGAACCCCTGGCCTCAAGAGATCCTCCCACCTCAGCCTCCCAAAGCAATGGGATTACTGGCGTGAACCACCACACCCCATTTATAGTTTTTTTGTCACAGTCACATGGTCAATAACTTTTCAAAAACATCAGTGGAAGAATTCTTGTTGGTGTGAATTGGAAACAAAACTCAAAAGAACGTGGCCTAATTTAACAGGTAAATTTGAAGTGCATCTATCAAACAGAAGACCAGCAAGAGAAAAAAATAGTGTTCCTAGGAAGAGGCAACAGGTTGCATAGTTTGAGGGCAGGCATTTTTCCCACTTAGGGGTAACCGTATGCTCTGCTGCCTGTCTTAGGGCCTTATGATTCTGTGGTCACCTGTTTCTTTGCTACTTCACTTTGGTGTAGGCAGAGTACTTTCTGCAGGTTTTCTCATAAATGAAAACAGCAGGATTACCAAAAATGGCAATGTTTGCATTGGTGATTTTAAACAGCAGCATGTTCAACTGTAATAAGGATGATTAAACACACACACACACACACACACACACACACACACACACACACAATTCCCCCAAACCAGCAGCATGGTGCCAACATTGATGATTGAAAGTCAACTTAAATGAGAATCTGAGACTTTTGAAGTATACTTGGTTGCTTATGTGTCTCATGTTGGGGTTACTGGAAGGTTTTGGAAAGCACACTTTTATTTACTTGTTTTTGTTTTTGAGACAGAGTCTCACTCTGTTGTCCAGACTGGAGTGCAGTGGCACGATCACGACTCACTGCAGCTTCGAACTCCCAGGCTCAGGTGATCTTCCCAAGTCAGCCTCCTGTGTAGCTGGGACTACAACTGCATGCCACCACACTTGGTTAATTTTTGTATTCTTTTTTTTTTTTTTTTTTTTTGGTAGAGATGGAGTTTCAGCATTTTGCCCAGGCTGGTCTGGAACTCCTGGGCTCAAGCGATCCACCTGCCTCTGCCTCCCAATGTGCTGGGATTACAGGCCTAAGCCACTGCACCAGGCCTAGCATCGTTTTTGTTTGTTTGTTTTTTGCTTAAGTTCCCCTTTCTGTGATCCAGAGACTGTTCCCCTCTCTATAGCCTCTACATGATGCATGAAAGAAAGCATTTTAGACAAAACTATTGAAATATTTTGCTGTTCTCTACACTGTATTTGTAAATATATATCTTGTTGGGTTTCTGTGTTTGTCTTCTGGACTTAAAATTTGGAGCCGCTCTTGGGGTGGCATTGTACAGGGTGGCCTAAGGAATTGCAGTGAGCTGCTGCTCACTGCAGTGTGGGACCCTGTGAGTGGTCTGTTTAATGTGTACAAGGACTGAAGGCCTATAAAAATAAAAATCGTTGTCGGGATAATGGAGTTACTGTAATTTGTTAAAGTTATACATATTTTCAATAAATAACACATTCTTCAATAAAAAAGAATTGGAGAGATTGTGAAAAAATGTGAGTATGAGAGTGTGTGTGTGAGTGTGTGAGTGTATCTGAGTGTGTATGAGTGAGTGTGAATTGTGTGAGAGTGTGTGAGAACACGTGAGTGAGTGTGAGCATTTCTGACCAGCAGTGGCCTCTTGGCAGTCCCCTCTGTCTCTGGTCAGTGTCACCGGCTGAGAAGGGAGAAGGGACTGTGGCTGCTCTTTAGTCTGGCTTGTGTGGGGTACAATGGACAAATCTGGAAGTTGGTTTTCTTTCTTTTTTTTTTTTGAGACGGAGTTTTGCTCTTTTTCATGCGCGTCCGTGTGAAGAGACCACCAAACAGGCTTTGTGTGAGCAACATGGCTGTTTATTTCACCTGGGCGCAGGCGGGCTGAGTCCGAAAAGAGAGTCAGTGAAGGGAGATAAGGGTGGGCCGTTTTATAGGATTTGGGAAGGTAATGGAAAATTACAGTCAAAGGGGGTTTGTTCTCTGGCAGGCAGGAGTGGGGGTCGCAAGGTGCTCAGTGGGGGTGGTTTTTGAGCCAGGATGAGCCAGGAAAAGGACTTTCACAAGGTAACGTCATCACTTAAGGCAAGGACCGGCCATTTACACTTCTTTTGTGGTGGAATGTCATCAGTTAAGGCGGGGCAGGGCATTTTCACTTCTTTTGTGATTCTTCAGTTACTTCAGGCCATCTGGGCGTATACGTGCAAGTCACAGGGGATGCGATGGCTTGGCTTGGGCTCAGAGGCCTGACATTCCTGCCTTCTTATATTAATAAGAAAAATAAAACAAAATAGTGTTGAAGTGTTGGGGCGGCGAAAATTTTTGGGGGGTGGTATGGAGAGAGAGTGGGCGATGTTTCTCAGGGCTGCTTCAAGCGGGATTAGGGGCGGCGTGGGAACCTAGAGTGGGAGAGATTAAGCTGAAGGGAGGTCTTGTGGTAAGGGGTGATATTGTGGGGATGTTAGAAGAAATGTTTGTCGTATAGAATGATTGGCGATGGCCTGGATACGGTTTTGGATGAATTGAGAAACTGGAATAAGAGAAGGAGAAAAACAGGTATAAAAGGTCTAAGAATTGGGACGACTCAGGATATCTGATTAGAGAGTGCCTAAGGAGATTCAGCATAGTCCTGCCAGCAAAGATTATTTATTTACTTCAAGAGTTAAGAGTGGCAGTTTGGGGATAGCACCAGGAGATATCAGCTGTGACGGCTTGGAAAAACAGTGTAAACCGGCAGTGTAAACAAGAGCAGGGCACGTATGAGTAGTTGAGAACGGTGACTAGGAGTATGACTAGACAGAAGATAGTAGGGATGACAATTTTTTTGGAGCACCGTCCAAGTTGGTCTGGTGTCTGGAATGAGACTGGGACCTAATAAAAAGGAGCGTCTATACAGGAGCTCAAATGGGCTGTACCCCGTAGCATTCCGAGGACAGGCCTGAATTCTGAGAAGGGAAAGTGGTAAAAGTATTGTCCAGTCCTTTTTAAGTTGGTGGCTGAGCTTGGTGAGGTGTGTTTTTAAAAGACCTTTAGTCTATTCTACTTTTCTTGAAGACGGAGGACCGTAAGGGATATAAAGGTTTCACTGAATACTAAGAGCCTGAAATACTGCTTGGCTGATTTGACTAATAAAGGCTCGTCTGTTATCAGACTGTATTGAGGTGGGAAGGCTAAACTGAGGAATTATGTCTGACAGAAGGGAAGAAATGACTGGAGTGGCCTTCTCAGACCCTGTAGGAAAGGCCTCTACCTATCCAGTGAAAGTATCTACCCAGACTAAGAGGTATTTTAGTTATCTTACTTGGGGCATGTTGAGTAAAGCTAATTTGCCAGTCCTGGGTGGGGCAAATCCTCGAGCTTGATGTGTAGGGAAGGGAGGGGGCCTGAAGAATCCCTGAGGAGTAGTAGAATAGCAGATGGAACACTGAGAAGTTATTTCCTTGAGGATAGATTTCCACGATGGAAAGGAAATGAGAGGTTCTAAGAGGCGGGCTAGTGGCTTGTACTATAGCATAACCTGCCTTTGCTGGTGTGTGGCGATTAGGCCTGGTGGAACCGCCATCAATAAATCAAGCGTGATCACGGTGAGGAACAGGAAAGAAGGAAATCTGGGGAAATGGGGTGAATGTCAGGTGGATCAGAGAGATACAGTCATGGGGGTCAGGTGTGGTATCAGGAATAATGTGGGAGGCCGGATTGAAGTCTGGGCCAGGAACATCGGTAATTGTGGGAGACTCAACAAAGAGTGAGTACAGCTGAAGGAGCCGGGAAGCAGAAAGTATATGCGTCAGGTATGAGGAAGAAAATAGATTTTGGAAGTTATGAGAACTGTACAGAGTGAGTTGAGCATAGTTTGTGATTTTGAGGGCCTCTAAAAGTATTAATGCAGCGGCAGCCACTGCACGCAGACATGAGGGCTAGGCTAAAACAGTAAGGTCAAGTTGTTTGGACAGAAAGGCTACAGGGTGTGGTCCTGGCTCTTGTGTAAGAATTCTGACCACGCTAACCATGCCTAGGAAGGAAAGGAGTTGTTTTGTAGAAGGTGCTGGGGTTTGAGAGATCAGTTGGACACGATTGGCAGGGAGAGCACGTGTGTTTTTATGAGAATTATGCCGAGATAGGTAACAGATGAGGAAGAAATTTGGACTTGATTGAAGTAATGGGGGCTGTCTGTGAAGCTTTGCAGCAGTATAGCCTAGGTAATTTGCTGAGCTTGATGGGTGTCAGGGTCAGTCCAAGTGAAAGTGAGGAGAGGCTGGGATTAAGGGTGCAAAGGAATAGTAAAGAAAGCATGTTTGAGATCTAGAACAGAATAATGGATTATAGAGGCAGGTATTGAGGATAGGAGAGTATATGGGTTTGGCACCACAGGGTGCCAAAGGTGGGATAGGCAAAACAATTTGGTTGATAAGGTGCAGATCCTGAACTAGCTTGTAAGGCTTGTCTGGTTTTAGGACAAGTAAAATGGGGGAATTATAAGGAGAGTTTATAGGCTTTAAAAGGCCATGCTGTAGCAGGCGAGTGATAACAGGCTTTAATCTTTTTAAAGCGTGCTGCGGGATGGGATATTGGCGTTGAGTGGGGTAAGGGTGATTAGGTTTTAATGAGATGGTAAGGGGTGCATGATCGGTCGCCAAGGAGGGAGTAGAAGTATCTTATACTTGTGGGTTAAGGTGGGGGGATACAAGAGGAGGATGCAAAGGAGGCTTTGGATTGGGAAGAAGGGCAGCAATGAGATATAGCTGTAGTCCAGGAAGAGTCAGGGAAGCAGATAATTTAGTTAAAGTGTCTCAGCCTAATAAGGGAACTGGGCAGGTGAGGATAACTAAAAAGGAGTGCTTAAAAGAGTATTGTCTAAGTTGGCACCAGAGTTGAGGAGTTTTAAGAGGTTTAGAAGCCTGGCCGTCAATACCCACAACAGTTATGGAGGCAAGGGAAACAGGCCCTTGAAAAGAAGGTAATGTGGAGTGGGTAGCCTCCGTATTGATTAAGAAGGGGACGGGCTTACCTTCCACTGTGAGAGTTACTGGAAGCTAGGCATCCTTGATGGTCTAGGGGGCTTCCGAGGCGATTGGGCAGTGTCAGTCTTCAGCAACTAAGCCGAGAAGATCTGGGAAGGAGTCAGTCAGAGAGCCTTGGGCCAGAATTCCAGGGGCTCTGGGAGTGGCTGCCAGGTGAGTTGGACAGTCCGATTTTCAGTGGGGTCCCACACAGATGGGACGCGGCTTAGGAGGAATCCTGGGCTGCAGGCATTCCTTGGCCTGGGGGTCAGATTTCTGGCACTTGTAGCAAGCTCCTGTGGGAGGAGGTTCTGGAGGAATGCCTGGCAGCTGCGGTTCAGGCGTTTGGAAGTTCTTGTGTGCTGGAGATGTGGCTGGGATTTGTCTCACAGAGGAGGCAAGGAATTGAAACTTTTTTCTATTATTGTACACCTTGAAGGCGAGATTAATTAAATCCTGTTGTGGGGTTTGAGGGCTGGAATTTAATTTTTGGAGTTTTATTTAATGTTGGGAGCAGATTGGGTAATAAAATGTATATTGAGAATAAGATGGCTTTTGACATTTTAGGGTCCAGGGCTGTAAAGTGTCTCAGGGTTGCTGCCAAACGAGCCATGAACTGGGCTGGATTTTTATATTTGATGAAAAAGAGCCTAAACGCTATCTGATTTGGGATAAAGAAAAAGGAGCATTAACCTTGACTATGCCTTCAGCTCCAGCCACCTTTTTAAGAATAAATTGCTGGGCAGGTGGGGGAGGGCTAGTCACAGAATGAAACTGTAAGCCAGACCGGGTGTGAGGAGGGGAGGTGATAAAAGGATTATAGGGTGGAGGAGCGGAGGCTGAGGAAGAATTGGGACCTAGCTCGGCCTGGTGAGGAGGGGAGAGGTCGGATGGGTCTGTAGAAAAGGAAGATTTGAAAGACTCAGTGACGCTTGGGGTTGGGACTGAGGGGACAGGCGGGAGGGAAAGAAGGAAGATTTGGGAGGAGTTGCACTGGGCACAGAGACTAGGAAGGGACTGATGTGTAAAAGAATGCCTGGATGTCAGGCACCTCAGAACATTTGCCTATTTTACGACAAGAATTATTTAGATCTTGCAGGATGGAAAAATTCCAAGTGCCATTTTCTGGCTATTTGGAACTACTATCGAGTTTGTATTGGGGTCAAGCAGCATTGCAGAAGAAAATAAGGCATTTAGGTTTTAGGTCAGGCGTGAGTTGAAGAAGTTTTAAGTTTTTGAGAACACAGGCCAAGGGAGTAGAAGGAGGAATGGAGGGTGGAAGGTTGCCTATAGTGAAGGAAGCAAGCCTAGAGAAAAGAGAGAGTAGAGAAATGGAGGGAAGGGGTTCGGGGGTTCTTACCTTCCAGAAAAGTGGGAAAATGGGTTGGGTCGCAGAGATAAGAGGTCGGGGTGTGGAAATAAGGGATTGGGGTGCAGAGATATAAGAGGTTGGGGCGCGGAAATAAGGGATTGGGGCACAGAGATAAGAGGTCGGGGTGCAGAAATAAGGGATTGGGGCGCAGAGATAAGAGGTTGGGGCACGGAAATAAGGGATTGGGGCGCAGAGATAAGAGGTTGCGGCATGGAAATAAGGGATTAGGGGTTCTTGCCCCATAGAAAAGCGGGACTTGCTGCTAAGTGTGAAGGAGAAGGGGTTGAGGGGTACTTGCCCCTCTCCCAGAAAAGCAGAGAAGGGGTAGAGACATGGAGAGAAGGGGTTGAGGTACTTGCCCCTTCCCCAGAAAAGCGGGACTTGCCGCTAAGGGTGAAGGACCAAGGCAGGCGTCCCTGCGTGGTTTGACACCCTTGAAACGTGGGTGTATAATCAGAGAGGCGTCCCTGCAATGATTAAACACCAAGGGAAGGCTGCCTTCCCAGTCTGTGACCAGTGCCGGAGTTTTGGGTCCACAGATAAAATGCGTCTCCTTTGTCTCTCCCAGAAAATGAAAGGAATTGAAATTAAGAGAAGGGAGAGATTGAAGAGTGGAAAGGAGAAAGTGGTTGAGGGACAGTGAGAGAGGTTGGAGAAGAGAGTAAGAAGAGGCCGCTTACCTGATTTAAAATATGTGAGATGTTCCTTGGGCTGGTTGGTCTGAGGACCTGAGGTCATAAGTGGATCTTTCTCACAGAGCAAAGAACAGGAGTACAGGGGACTGATCTCCCAAGGGAGGTCCCCTGATCCGAGTCACAGCACCAAATTTCATGCGCATCTGTGTGAAGAGACACCAAACAGGCTTTGTGTGAGCAACAAAAAACGGCACCAAATTTCATGCGTGTCCGTGTGAAGAGACCACCAAACAGGCTTTGTGTGAGCAACATGGCTGTTTATTTCACCTGGGCGCAGGCGGGCTGAGTCCAAAAAGAGAGTCAGCGAAGGGAGATAAGGGTGGGGCTGTTTTATAGGATTAGGGTAGGTAAAGGAAAATTACAGTCAAAGGGGGTTTGTTCTCTGGCAGGCAGGAGTGGGGGTCGCAAGGTGCTCAGTGAGGGTGGTTTTTGAGCCAGGATGAGCCAGGAAAAGGACTTTCACAAGGTAATGTCATCACTTAAGGCAAGGACCAGCCATTTACACTTCTTTTGTGGTGGAATGTCATCAGTTAAGGTGGGGCAGGGCATATTCACTTCTTTTGTGATTCTTCAGTTACTTCAGGCCATCTGGGCGCATATACGTGCAAGTCACAGGGGGATGCGATGGCTTGGCTTGGGCTCAGAGGCCTGACATTCTTGTTGCCCAGGCTGGAGTAAAATGGTGTAATCTCGGCTCACTGCAACCTCCACCTACTGGGTTCAAGCGATTCTCTTGCCTCAGCCTCCCGAGTAGCTGGGATTACAGGTGCCCGCCACCACGCCCGGGTATTTTTTTGTATTATTGGTAGAGACAGGGTTTCACCATGTTGGCCAGGCTGGTGTTGAACTCCTGACCTCAGGTAATCCACCCACCTTGGCTTCCCAAAGTGTTGAGATTACAGGCGTGAGCCATCGTGCCTGGCTGAAGCTGGTTTTTTGAATTATCCATGTCCTTTCCACCACCCCCACTTGTTGCTCCCAGTGTGGGGTCTGTCTTGTAGCCCACTGAAGCCCCCTTCACTGACCAGCACTCCCTTCTTCCTCTCCTGGAAGCATACTCCCCCAGAACTTTAAAGCTATTTCCTGATTGTTTGAAAGGACAGTGGATTAGTGTGACCAACCCATTAGAGGGCCTCAAGGATGGAGTTCACTTTGAAGTCATAAGACCTTTCTCATTTAAACTCTGGGTGTGTGTTTGTGCAAATGTCAGCTGAATTGATATGGTGAACACCCCTCCATGGGGTCACCCCTTTATAGCTCTGAAGGGATAGCTGCCCAGCTCAGTGGGTTCTCCCTTCGTGCTCTCATATCAAACGGCAGGAACAAAAGGATCATAAATCAATGTTTTCAGAGAGGGCCAAGGTCTTTGTGTCCAAGTAATCTCGAGTGCCAGCACAGAGTGCCCTGCCCTGGGCCTTGGGCTGAGTCCCGGCAGCCTTGTGGTCCATGTGGGTCATTTACACTCTCTGACCCCTGGATGGAGAGGGTACTGACACCTCCTCTTCTGCACTGGACATTGGGGGGTCTGCATGAAGTCAGGCATGGGAAATGTGCTGTGCAAACCTGCCCTAAAGATGTCTGGCCCCTTAAATAAGAGACTTGTTACCAGGCCCAGATATGGCCTGGGCTGAGCTTGCTGCAGTGTCTGAAAGTGCAACTGAGATTTCCTTATTCGTGTCTTACAGTTTGTTTTCTGTCTCCAAGCATAATATCCTGTTCTTGTCTCTATCAAATTTCATTCTATTTTTTTTTTTTTTTTGAGGCAGGGTCTCACTCTGCCACCCAGGCTGGAGTGCAGTGGTGCAATCAGAGCTCGCTGCAGCCTTGACCTCCCAGGCTCAAGGGATCCTCCTGCCTCAGCATCCTGAGTCACTGGGACCACAGGTGTGTGCCACAATACCTGGCTAATTTTTAAAATTTAAAAAAATTTTTGTAGAGATGGGGTCGCCTTATATTGCTCAGGTTGGTCTTGAACTCCTGGCCTCCAGTGATCTTCCCATCTTGACCTCCCAAAGTGTTGGGAGCCACTGCACCCAGTCAAATTTCTTTCTTAATGGTTTCTGCTTCTCTAGCATATTACAGATGAATTTCAATTTAATCCATTACTTTCCTGGGTTGTCCTTTTCCTAGTATTTTGTCATCTACATGCCTAAGGAAACTATTATCTACCATGTTACCTGGAACCTTCATACAAATTGTTGAATGAACCCGCCCCCAATGCACAAAGCTATTGAACATAACTTTCGTAGTCCTGCAAAGCTGATACAGATCTCAGAAGAGAAACGCTTGAATGTACTGACCCAAATGGCTACTGATCTATTATGCAAAAACCTAAAAGTACTAGCAGTTAAATCTGGCTCTCATAGTCTTCTCACAGGCAAATATTGCTCATTCTGAAAAGCTTATCTGAAGAAAGAATTGGTTCTTGATGCTCTGAAGTATACTGGTCTCTCTTATTTGAGTTGGATGAATTGCTGCCATTTTGGAATCTGCACTGTGTGTGGGCTGGGCATGTGGGAGTTACCTGTTCCCCTCCCCAGGGTCTTTCCCTCCCCTCCCCTCTCTGCCCTACCTGGGCCATCTCTCTTCCCTCAATCATCTCCCTACCCACCTTTGGAGGACCATTTCCTCTTAGTGACTGATAATGAAATTCCTGAACACAGGTCAGGATGCCAGGGATTTTAACAGTCGAGACTCATCCAAGGAGAAGACACTGAGAAAGCAGCAGGCACACCTGTGTTCAGATAAGCTGACTTTCCTGTGTTTTGTGTTTGTTCCATCTGTCACCATGGGAACAATGGCAGTGCACCTGTCCCACTTGGCAGGGACTTCAGTTGGACCCATTCCACAACCCATAGCTCGGGACTCAAACTGCCACGGAGGAGTCAAGAGACCTGCATGCTGCCCACCTGTCTTGGGTGTGGCCTCGAATAAACTTTAGCTTTTCTGAGCCTTACATGTTTTCTATGTTTAAAAGATGAAAAACAAATCTAGACCTCTACCTATGCCTATTGACTCTGGTTTAAGCTGATTTATTAAACCCTCTTTTGATCCAGACTGATGATTTAAGGTTTTTTTTTCTTTTTTTGAGATGGAATCTCACTCTGTTGCCCAGGCTGGATTGCAGTGGCATGATCTTGGCTCACCACAACCTCTGCCTCTGGGGTTCAAGCAATTCTCCTCCCTCGGCCTCCTGAGTAGCTGGGATTATAGGCACCCGCCACCACTCCCAGCTAATTTTTGTATTTTTAGTAGAGACGGGGTTTCTCCATGTTGGCCAGGCTGCTCTTGAACTCCTGACCTTAGGGGATCTGCCCTCCTCGGCCTCCCAAAGTGCTGGGATTACAGGTGTGAGCCACTGCACCCAGCCTCAAGTTTCATGATAAATCATTAGCAGTGTGATTGCAAGACCCCACTCTTCCCTCTCTTCCCAGTTATTTGCCCTCAGAGAATCTCTAATGAATTTGACGTGAGGTAAAAGTTGGGACTGTTGGGACTCATTTGACCATTTCCCGAATGTGTTTTCCAGCACAGGAGTGGAAGGGATGGCCCTGAGTCTGGTGTCTCAGCCCTTCTCAAGGTCCCATGAGAGTGAGAGGAGCAGTTCAGGCCTCAGAGAGATTCTGCCTGAGCTCTGAGCTGCAGTTTTGGGACATGTGGGCCTTGTACAGGTAAGTGAGTGCGTTTAGCAGTGCAAGTGCAAAATACAGGAAAACGGGTCCTTTGATATTTCTAAAAATACGTCCCATAAGAATTCTAGTGTTTTATTAATATTAACCACCTGGAGAAGAGGGTGGTTGCTTGGTGGTTCCTGGAATTTGTTTCATCTCTCGAATTCCTGTTTGCATCATGGAACCTGTGTGCTGCTGAGACTGTGCTGGCACTGGAGATTACTTGGACACAAAGACCTTGGCCCTCTCTGAAAACATTGATTTATGATCCTTTTGTTCCTGCCGTTTGATATGAGAGCACGAAGGGAGAACTCACCCTGGGAGCTGCATGCATGGCTGGCTGTCTTGGCCTCCCAAGATATAAGTCCCTGAAGCAAATGGACTTAAATCATGTGGTTCTTTTAAACCTCCTTAAGTGTCTTATTGAAGCTGAATTGTTGTGACAGTGATCCTAAGTCACAAAGTGACTTTCTGGGGAGAGGGCTCTAATGCTGCATGGATTTGGTAAGAAAGGAGAGTCCAGGGAGGCAGGAAGTGCCCTTAGAGGCAGGGGGCAGGGCCAGCCTCCGTGAGGCCCTCAGACACGACAGTGGCCCACGGACCCTGTGCCTCTCAGGCCACACAGGATCAAGGGTGGACTAGAGCCTTGTCGTAGTACTCAGTGATGGTTCCTCTGGCTCTGTCTTCTTCTCTCTGTTGGAACTCAGCTCTCCAAAGGAAGTCTGGGATGCCCCAGGGAAGCTCAGACAGCCTGGAGGATGGGTCCCCGAGGTTCCCGGGCACCTGCCAGCCCCCTCCTCACTCCCGTCTGCTTGGGTGCTGTCAGCTTGCACTAAGGGGACAGCTTGTCCTTGCTGTCTCGTGCAAGGTCCCACGGCTGTCAATGCCCCAGTGAAGGCTGGGGGTTTCCAACCTGGAGGCACTTCCGACACCTGTGCCGAGGCCACCTTCTTTCTGTGGCGGATGCAATGCTCTCAGTGTTCTGAGCGGGTATCAGGGGAGGGTGGTACCTAGCAGGCTGGCCCTCTCTTCTAGGGTGTGAAGGCTAGCATCTCTCAGACTCCTTTACAACCAAAGATCCAGAGGTGACTTAAGAACATGAATTTGATGACTTATGAGGGACTTGCATTCTGAGCAGAGTCAAACAGGGAGAGAGGCAGAGTGTGGGCCCTGGTTTTGCTACTGTGGCTCAAGCATGAGCCTCATTGCTCTACAGCCAGCCACCTTAACAGTGGCTTCTCTGTGCCATCAAGAGCTTACTGGCTGTAGCGGGAACGGCTCCTTGTCATTCTTGGAAAACTGGCCTAGGGTTTGCTTCTTCAGCTCTCCTGTGAATTCTGTTGACCAATTACTGTCCCTGGAGAAATCTCACTGGGCTTGAATTCGCTGGAGTAGATGCTGTGCTGTATGATAAAGCTCTGTCTGGTAGAAGGGGTGTGGGGGAATTGTTCCAAAACATGCATACAAAGTGGTTCATTGGTCATTTTGTTCCATGGCAAGGGAAAGGGGAAACATAAAGTATTAAAGGCTTAGTATAGACAGACAGGCTGGCAAGGGAGATGTGGAGACAGTCAGACAGCCAGTTGGAAGGTCCCTGGAGAACTCAGAGCTCCATGTGTCATTGATGTCTGTGAGCAAACCTTGACCCCTGCCCCTCTGGCTCATGCTGGCTCTGAGAGTTGACGGGAGAGGCTTCTTGCCTGTGAATATCCTTGCTGCCTGTGCCCATGACTTCTGCCAGCTGTGGCTGTGTCTTTCTTGCAGGCATTGGGATATGTTCCCTATTATTAATCAATTTTGTTAGACACAAAATTCAAGAGAATGTCACCAGTTCTTGAGAGTCTCATCTCTGGCTGAACTAGGTTCTCTCCCAGGTGCTTGACTCCTCTGTTGGCTGATTTACAAAAAGGTGTCCTATTCATGACCTCATGGGTTGTTTGGAGGTTTAAATGCATCGAATGGAAGCTCCCTCCCAATATTTGTGAGCCCAAGAAAGAGTGCAGATGGAAGACTCCCTCCCTTCCCTCCCAGTCTGACCTGGTTCAAGCCTAGGAGTCCACACGCCTGCAGCATGTTCTGTCCTTTGGAAGACAGGCCCAGGGAGAGGGCTGTGCGGCCCTGGAAGCAGATCTGGGTTTGCAGCAGGAGATTCTGGAGTCTGGCCCAGAAGGGGAGATGCTCTAGGTCCCTTGACTCCCAGCCTCCTCAGCCCCCAGGGAGGGGAGCAGCCAGACAGGAGCCCGGGCAGGACCCTTAAAATGTGGGCCCCGAAGCCTGTGGTGGCCGAGGTCTAAGAGTGACGCTGCAACAAGCCTTCCCTATTAATCAGGGTGCTTCCTGTTGCAAGGAAAAACTTAAACCCCTCAGACTAGCTTGAAAAAAAGGGAGACTTTATGACCTCACTTAACTGAGAAAGAAGTGAAGCAGCCTTGGGCAGGCGGGATGGAAGGGCTCAGTGAGTGTGGTCAGGGCCATCTCTCACCCTTCTTCAGTCCTGGGTGCAGGTGGGGGGACTCAAGCTCCTCCTAAAGGGGGGCCTCTTCCTTGTGTAGCAGAAGGGCACACATGTCACCTGAGTGTAACAACCCCAGGACAAAGGAATAAGCTTTCACTGTGCACACGGGGTAGACAGCAGGCCTCAAGCCAGTCCCTCATTGTGTCACATGGAGGGTGTGGATCACCCAGGCTAGGGGCAAGCGTAGGAGTCTGTGATGGGCAGCCCCACCAGAAACACATGGACGCAAGGAGAGCAGTTCTCCCAGGAAGGGAGGGTACCATGACAACGCTGTGTGGGGGGAGGCAAGGGGGCTGGACAGACAGAACAGTGTGCGCCCCCCACTCTCCAGCCCTGCCGAGAGTGGCACCTGCCCAGCCTGGACTCTCCCCATCCCTCCTCGGAAGGCATTAGTCATGAACAGCTCTGTGTGGAGCAGTCACTGAAGGTCCTATGTCTTTATCCCACAAAGGTTTGATGCTCTCCAGTTTTCATTCTCCATGAAAGTGGGGGCCTAATAATACAGTTGACCCTTGAACTGTGGTTTGAACTGCAAAAGTCCACTTATACATGGATTTTTTCAGTAAAAGTAACACTGAGTGTGCTTGCCTCTCTGCCTTCCCTTCCACCTCCTCCACTTCTTTTGCCTCTGCCACCTCTGAGACAGCAAGACCAACCCCTCCTCTTCCTCCTCCTTCCCAGCTACTCAACTCGAAGACTATGATGAAGATCTTGATGATGATCCACTTCCACTTAATGAACAGGGAATGTATGTTCTCTTCCTTACAATTTTCTTAATAACATTTTCCATTCTCTAGCTTACTTTACTGTAAGAATCCAGTAAACTCATACATATAACCTACAAAATAGATGTTAACCTACTGTTTATATTATCAGTGAAGCTTCCAGTCAACAGTAGGCTAATTGTTAGTTAAGCTTTGGGGGAGTCACAAGTTATATGGGGATTTTTGGCTGCACGGAGGGTTGGCACCCCTAGCCCTGCTGTTGTCGGAGGGTGAGCTGTATATGAAACCCCAATCCTCTGAATTCCTTGCTACCATTACCCGCCCTTGCCTCTCCCCTCTCCCTCCCACTTCTCCCTTCTCTTTCCCTCCCTCTTCCTCTCTCTTCGTGTCTTTCTCCATCCCTCCTACCCTGCAGATTTACTTAATTTCTTGGTTTGCGAGCTGGATTCATGTGTGAACAGATGTTTTGATCATTGACTTTGCCTAAGTGCTAAGCCAGCCAACAGGTTAAATGCAGCAGGCTAGTAAAAAGTCCACTAAGTGCAAAGCAAAGTGAATTGTCTTTGGTATTTCTGCTGTTTGTTACCATATTATTTTAAAGCATCTTTCTCTTTTCAGCTGCAGGCTGTATTTTTCTTGATTTATAACATTTGAAGGATTTCCTCTGCCCACGTCCAATATGAAGCTTTAAACCTTCAAATCCAATTACTTCCTAATTGGATTTCTGGGCTTCTTCCTTAATTAGTAAATGAACTGCCATTTCATCCATAGGGCAAGTCCTTGGCTCTCTGTTGAAAGTGGTTGTTCAATTTTCTTTTCTTCCTCTGGGTAGGCATATCAGGGCTGATTCTGAAATAAAGCACCTGCTTTAGTCATCTGTGGGTGAGAAGTCCCTTCCTTGTCCTTGGATGTTGTCACTGGCGGTGCCATGCCTGGCTGAGGCTAGCATTGCCCAGTATGCAATAAGTGTGCAGATTCTTCACAGTGGAGGCAGTGGGTACCCTTGAGGCTTGAAGGATATGGTTTAGGGTAGAGAAGAAGGAAACTGCTTTTACAGATGGCAGTTTATATATATCCAAAGCTAACACAGTTTCAAAATACTGATCTGTAAGTCTAGAGGGGTGAGTATCTTGTGTTAATTTTATTAAGATGCACATTTAAATGTTCCCAGAATCATCTAATGCCATACAGGCCTCCTGCTTGCCTAGTGTTTTACTATGGACACTACTGCCTGCCATAATTCCTTGTACGTGGGGCTGACACACGCATGGCTAGGTGCTTCGCATCCTGGACCCATTGACCCCACAGGCTAGAGGGCTCCTTTCCGTGAAAATGTTTCTGCTCATTTCCATAAACGCTATATACATCTCACCTTTTAGACAAGGACCCTGGGGTTGAAAGAATTGAAGTGGCTGGTCCAAGAATGAAAACTTGGGCCGGGCTCGGTGGCTCACGCCTATAATCCCAGCACTTTGGGAGGCCAAGGAAGGAGATCAACTGAGGTCAGGAGTTCAAGACCAGCCTGGCCAACATGGTGAAACCCCATCTCTACTGAAAATACAAAGATAAGCCTGGCATGGTGGTGCATGTCTGTAGTCCCAGCTACTCGAGAGGCTGAGGCAGGAGAATCTCTTGAACACAGGAGGCGGAGGTTGCAGTGAGCCAAGATTGCGCCATTGCACTCCAGCCCAGGCAACAGAGTGAGACTCTGTTTCAAAAAAAAAAAAAAAAAAAAAAACAGCGTGGTAGTGGCCTGACTCCCACCTGATGCTCTTTCTACTTACACGAGGTCACAGAGAGTGAGGAGCCCTGCACTAGGCAGAGGGGACAAGAGAGAGATGTGCTCATTTTGTTCTGTGGTTGGTGTTGGAGGATTGAGTGTGTGCACTTTCTCTCTTGCACACTCACACACCCATGCACCCCATCCACACATACAATTACTTTTTTCTGAGGACTTCCTTTTTGCATTTCATCTGATGTCCTAGCCCTCCTCAAAGCAGACTTGAGCTTCTAGGGCTCATTGGATCAAACCACAGATTCATGCGCAGGACTTATTCCTCTTCGTTTCACAGTTGAAGAAGGAGCTTGGAGACAAGAGTGGGCTTTTTCCCCTTTTTAACCCAACAGAATGGTAAACATAGATTTATTGGTCTATGAGCAACTTCAGGCAGAATCTGGTCATTTTCACGTTTGCGTTTCCCGTGGAGACCACAGCATCCAGCATGCAATAAAGTCTCCACGAGCATGGGGTGAGTTAATGGAGAATGGGCAGGCATCGGGCTGCACTGATGGGCCACGCAGTCTCTCCCAACATTAACATTATGAGGTCACAGTGGCACAAAACATTGCCAGAAGATAAAGGGCCTAGAGACCTCAAACTTAATGTAGAACAAGTTACATTTCAGGTCTTAGCACTGTGAAAAATGGCCCATTGTTTGAGCTATGAGTAAGCAGAGACACCTTCCACATGGGAGTTTCACATTCTGCTTTAGAGAAGGTCAGAGTGCCCTTCCTGTGCCTGCCGCTGCTGTCGTTATTTTTTGTGTCTTTGACTTAAAACCATCAACATGCCAACATGGTGTATTTTGAGGTGCTGTTTTCTGGACACCTTCATTGTCTAATTTAATTCCCCTAACAACTGGAGGAGGTCACTGTTTGCATTTGCTGATGTGAAAACAGGCTCAGAGAAATGACAAAATGTACCAATCTCTTACAGCAGCTAAGGGGACTTCCTTCCCTCTGTCCCTTTTTCTTCCTCCTGCGATCTAGAGACACAGAGGGAATGCAGTAAGGGTGTGAGAGGAACGGAATGCTTCTTGGGGATGTTGGTAAACAAAACACACCTGCTCTGATGGGAGTTTCCCTCTGGTCGGAGACAGGCACCTCAAGGCAGATCTGGCCCTTGGGTGGCCCCGGCCCTGGACCCTGGGTGCTCAATGGGTCCACAGAAGTTCGATCTTGACGCTTTGGTTTTCCCTCTGCTCCTCTCTTGCCCTTGCGTCTCTGCTTTTTCCTTTCTATCTGTTAACAATCTGGAGTTCAGACCTCTGCAACGACTTCTTGGTTGGCTCCTGGCCCTATTCTCTCTGGCCCCAGTCCAGTCTCTGCCCTAGGTCCTATCTTTAGTTCCCAACCACATTTTCCAAGTCTAGACTCCCCTGGTAGGGCTGCAGAACCATCCACGATCTTGTCATTCCCAACACATTTGGCCTCATCTCCCTTTCTCTGCAAGTTGACCCCTGCTGGCTAACAAGGATGCCCTTCCCTCTCTCCAACACAGTTCCTAGGCTCATTCAAACCCCTGCCTTTCCATTCATCTTTTTTAAAAGCACTGCTCTTCCTCCTCCCACCCATCTAAATGTTGTTAGGACTATAGGCTTTGAGGTTAAAGAGATCTGTGTTAAAATTATGTTAGTATCACTTGGCTGGCTGTACATGACCTTTGGAGTCAGAGTTTCCTTATGTAAAAGGAAAATGGTAATAGCAATTGCATAGTGTTGGCAGAGGAGTGGCATATAAAGAGTCCCCTGCAAAGCACAAGCACAGGTGCTGGCCAACGGGAAGACCCAAGTCAGGGTCATTGTTATCCTCTGTTCCTTAAGGTCCAGCTCCAGACCTGCCTTCTTCTGAGGCTTTTTCAACTTTTCTAGCAGCAGTCAAGTTCAACTGCATTGAGGACACTAAATTTGGTCCTGAATTATTTTCCATGTGGTGAATGGATGAGACGTATCTCTCAAACTAGATTGTACACTTACAGGCATAGACTGTGGTTTTTCTTTTTTCTTATTTTTTTGAGACGGAATCTTACTCTGTCACCCAGGCTGGAGTGCAGTGGTGCCATCTCAGCTCACTGCAACCTCCACTTCCTGAGTTCAAGTGATCCTCTCACTTCAGCCTCCCGAGTAGCTGGGACTACAGGCATGTGTCAACACATTGGCTAATTTTTTGTATTTATTTTTATTTTTGTAGAGATGAGGCCTTTCTGTGTTCCCCAGGCTGGTCTTGATCCACCCGCCTTGTGCTGGGATTACAGGCATGAGCCACCACGTCTGGCCGGTTTCTTTTTGTTCTTTTCATACACCTATAGCACTTACAAATTCTTGTGGCCAGTGGTAAGGGGAACATGGGGAATTTTCTTCATCCACAGTGAGTTCAGGTCCTCTGAATTTAGGCTCCTCAAAGCCCTGTGGCTCCTATAAGATTTAGGACTGGGGCCACCCACCTGGAGAGCAGACACCCAGAGCTGGATTTGCACCGAGCAGACCGGTGGCCAATGGAGGAGGCGCTGTGTCCTGGGTACCCAGCCACTTACCTGCAGGCACCTGGCATCATATCAGCTTGCTGGGTGACGGGGGCTACACAACTGTGGTCCCCAGGGGCCAGACAGCCTCCTGCTTTGCACATCCTGTGGAATCTTCAGAGGCAACAAATTGGAACAGGAAAAGAGGTGTTTTTTTCATGAAACAAGCATGTGTTCTGTTTAATGAGGAGAATTCGAGACTCAAGCTGGGGAGAGTACGTGAACTGACTTCTTGACAATGTAATTATAACTCATTTTTCACTACTAAATTGAAATCACTTAGCCAGGCACTGGCCCAGTTTTGGTGAGCGTAGGGGAGCAGCAGCCTGCCTCTGCCTGCCAGCAGTGGATATGAGGCTGTCTTTGATGCTGGAGCACCAGGGGAGCACGCTGGTGTTGGAGAGCCTGCCTGCATTAAGAATATTCCTCAGAAATGGTGTACAATTGGTTTTTATAAATATTTACATTTGGTTGACATTATCCTATCAGAACCGCTGCATTTCTGACTGATCTCGGAGTGCCCCTGAGTGCTGCCTCTTTTAATTTCCTAAGCAGTTGTGCTTGCTTCGGCAGCACATATATTAATTTCCTAAGCAGTTAATTGTCTGTAAACTGTAAAAGAAGAAGGCTTCCTAGTTGAGGCAATAAGCTATTTTAAGTGAATCCTTTTGCAAAACAAAAACTCCTTTTGTAGTGAAGAAAATCTCCCCTAATTGGTCCCTGTGGTAAATGGGATTTCCCTTGATGTCTATAATCTTTTTTTTTTTTTTTTTTTTTTTTTTAAGACAAAGTCTCGCTCTGTCGCCAGGCTGGAGTACAGTGGCGTCATCTGAACTTACTGCAACCTCCGTCTCCTGGGTTCAAGCAATTCTCCTGCCTCAGCCTCCCGAGTAACTGGGACTACAGGCGCGTGCCACCACGCCCGGCTAATTTTTGTATTTTTAGTAGAGACGGGGTTTCATCATGTTGGCCAGGATGGTCTCGATCTCCTGACCCCCTGATCCGCCTGCCTCAGCCTCCCAAAGTGCTGGGATTACAGGCGTGAGCCACCGTGCCCGGCCTACAATCCTTAATGCCGTGGAATTCATGCCTCGTCTACCTGGTTCCTGAGGAGGCAGACACCTGGGGGCAAAGCAGGGCACTGGGGAAGTACCGGTTCTTCCTGCTCTCACATAATCTGCTTGGGAGTCCCGGGGGGTAGGTATTATTATCCCCATTCTGCAGGTAAAAAAAGTGCAGCTCAGAAGAGGTAAATACATGTCTGAGGTCACACAGCAGGTCAGGGCTGTGCCAGGAGTCAGTCCGAGGTCACTGTGCCATGCAGACTGGAAGGAGGCCCCAAGAGCTCAAAGCCCTCCTCCTGGTGCCCAGGTCTTTCCATGAAAAAACCACCTTAAAGGGGGACTTTGTGTATGGATTTCTAGGCCACACTCACTTTTAGCTCCTTGAAGCCCTTCTCAGCATTAAGTTATCTTATCCTTCAAAACAGGTAGATAGAGCTGGGTACAGTAGCTCAGGCCTGTCATCCCAGTGATTTGCGAGGCAGAGGCAGGAAGATCACTTGAGCCCAGGAGTTGGAGGCCAGCCTGGGGACATAGCAAGACCTCATCTCTAAGAAAATTAAAAAACGTAGCTGGGCATGGTGGCACATGCCTATAGTCCCAGCTATTTAGCAGGCTTAGGCAGGAGGATCGCTGGAATCAGTGAGCCATGACTGCACTGTTGCACTCCAGCCTAGATGACAGAGTGAGACTCAACTCAAAAAAAAAAAAAAAAAAAAAAAAGAAAGAAAAAGAAAGGAGATGGGTTTTCTCTGGATGAGTGTGCTGGGGTGGTTCCACTGTGGCATGCAGGACTGTGGCTCAGGGTTTCTCTCCTGCCCTCTTTGATGCCTGGGGCCTGTGCCAAGTCACCTTGACCCATTTTAACCAGCAGCTTGGGTTAAAGTTCTTAATGACCAGGAGATATATATATATATATTTATGTATTGCATTTTATAAATGCTTTAAATACAGTCATAAAAAATAAGCTTCAAATTTACAAAAACCAAGACAGTTAAAGCTGATGGGATGGGAGTTATATTTCCATGTTCAAAATGCTAACTTAACAAAAAATTTCCTTTAGATTCATTTAACTACCTAAATGTTTGCAATGTGGTTATGTTTCTAAAATTGGAATTAGGTCGGGTGTGGTGGCTCATATCTGTAATCCCAGCACTTTGGGGAGGCCGAGGTGGGCAGACCACCTGAGGTCAGGAGTTCGAGACCAGACTGGCCAAGGTGGTGAAACTCCATCTTACTAAAAATACAAAAATTGGCTGGGCGTAATGGTGGGCGCCTATAATCCCAGCTACTGGGGAAGCTGAGGCAGGGAGAATTGCTTGAACCTGGGAGGTGGAGGTTGCAGTGAGCCGAGAGAGATCATGCCATTGCACTCCAGCCTGGGTGATCTCAAAAAAAAAAAAAAAAAAAAAAAAAAAAAAGGGGGAATTAAGTTTTTATTCAAGTGGGTTTTATTAGATGTAATTTATCTGGCATCAAACTCTTGTATAAATACTAGCATAGCCAGCCCAGATCTTTCCAAACTATGTTGTGTGCAACAGTAGCACCCTGAGATGTTATTGAGGCATTCTTCAAAAAAAAAAAAATGTAATATAACCAGAGCACTTGTGAAACAATGAGTCAAAAAAAGTTAAATACTTAATTTTTTTTTTTTTTTTACTGCAGGACTCCCTCTAAGATTCTAATATGCTAAATAATATATATTTGTATTAGGTATCTATTGTTATGTAACAAATTATCCCAAAACTTTGTGGCTAAAAACAACAATAAATATTGATACCACTCACAGTTTCTGTGGGTCAGGAGTGTGTGAGCAGCTTGGTTGGGTTGTTCAGGCTCATGGTCTTTCCTGAGGTTGCAGTTGAGATGTTGGCTGGCACTGTATTATCTGAAGGCTGGTCTAGGGCTGGAGGATCCACTTTCAAAATGCCAGGCTTTTTGGTGGGAGCCCTAAGCTCTTTTCTGTGGGCCTCTCTTGACAGGGCTGCTTGAGGATCCTCATGGTATGCAGGCCAGCCTCTCCCAGAGAACAAGGCAGAAGCTGCAATGCCCCACAGGAGGGAGACTTGGAAGTCAGACATCATCGCCCCTGCCATACGGTCTTAGTCCATTTGTGTTGCTATAAAGGAATACCTGAGGCTGGGAAATTTATAACAAGAAGAGGTTTATTTGGCTTGTGGTTCTGCAGGCTCCACAGGATGGTGCCAGCATCTGCTTCTGGTGAGGGCCTCAGATGTTTCCATTCATGGAGAAGGTGAAGGGGAACAGGCATCATATGGCCAGAGAGGAAGCAAGAGAGAGGAGGAGGAACCAGTTTCCATGGGAACAAGAGTGAGAGTTCACTCACTCTGTGAAAATGGCACCGAGCCATGAGGGATCCATCCCGGTGACCCAAACACCTCCCACCAGGGCCCACCTCCAACACTGGGGAGTCAAATTTCAACACGAGATTTGGAGGGGATAAGTATTCAAACAGTATCACATAATCTGTCAGTCACACTTACCAGCCCTGAATTGATGTGAGAAGGGGACCCTACAAGGGTGTGAAGACACAGAGGCAAGATCTTTGGGGGCCACCTGGAGGCTGGCTATCATGACATCGTTCAGCCTTAAGTAGAGGTTATGATGTAATTTTCCCCAAACTCACTTTACCTCAGATTGTCACAAAATCCCTTTGTTTTCCAATTAATGAGTATTCCTGGTATGTGTTGACCTCCACTGTTCCAGCCCAGGTTGCTCAATTCAACCTGTAGCTTGGGGTGAGCCACTGCCTACTGCCCTGCATGGTGTCAGGAGACTCCTTTGTATCATGGTGTGTGTGTGTGCATGTGTGGGGTGTGTGGAGTGCACGGTGCAGGCTGGCGAGGGATGAGAGCTCTGGGGGCACAGCCTGAGGGCAAGGAGCTCCTAAGCCCTTAAACTGCACCCTCCAGGGGTCCCTTTCCTCACTGCAGGGCTGCGTTAGTATCCACCCTGGACCACTCTCTCCCTCATGGTCACTGAGTACCCTAGAGTTGGAGCTTCTCTCCACTTCTTGGTTTCTTCCTCGCCTTCAGCCACTTTGCGCCTGGGTCCACCACTTCTCCTTCATATGAAAGCTGTCTTCCTGGCTTTTTTTTTTTTTTTTTCATAAGAAGCTATGGTGGTCAAATAAGAAAGAACTTTTAGAACAGGATTCTAAAGCCTGGTGTGGTGGCACATACTTGTAATCTCAGCACTTTGGGAGATTGAGGCAGAAGGACTGATTGAGGCCAGGAGTTTGAGACTGTCTGGGCAACATAGTGAGATCCCCATCGCTACAAAATACTTCAAAGTTAGCTGGATGTGATGTGCACACCTGTAGTCCCAGCTGCTTGGGAGGCCGAGGCAGGAGAATTCCTTGAGCCCAGGAGTCGAGGTTGCAGTGAACAACAGAGCAAGGCCAAAAAACAGCCAGAAAACAGCAGCAAAAACCCCCCAGGATTCTGAGTTGTTCATGGCAAAGGAAGTTAGTTCTTCCTTCTTTGCTGTCAGGAAGGCTCTCCCCACAAACACAACTGCCTGGTCAGCACTTCTTGGGGAAGGTCTTTCTTTCTCCCTGCCCATCCCAGAATGGGTTAAATCTAAGGCAGGAAAAACGAGACAAAAAGGACTGGCGTTTTCACATTGAGTTAGGTTGAGTATTGCCCTTCTACCCTGGAACATTGCTTTGATCACAGGCCTGTCTGTGTGCATCCCCTCCTTGGGCAGAACTGCAGCCTTCTGAGTAATCAAGCTTCTCTGAAGTGCTCTTACCCTCATCCCAAGAAATCATGTCTTTCCTGCTTCACTTTAGCAGTGACCTTCCCACCACTGACGTGTACCTTTTATAACTGCAATTGTCTTGCGTATTTCTGCTCTAAACTTGGATCAGCCATGTGCCTGCTGCCCCTGTCCTAGAGCAAGTGTGAGGTCATTGAATGAGCATCTGAAACTGTGGCCCTGACGTATGGAGGCTGGCAGGCAGGGGTCCTGAAGCAGTTGGGCCGAGGGGCTGGAAATGTGGCATGCCAACTCCTTGTTTTTCCAGGAACTTGCAGAGTGCGTAGGGGAAGGCCCATAAACTGCTCAGTATTGCAAGTTACCCCACGCTAGAATGGGGAAGAAAATACAACTACATTATTGCGGTCATCACTGAGCACGTGAGGTGGTGGTGAGTGAGCATCTTTGCAAAGCAGAGCCAGGCAGGCAGGGTTAGAGTCTCTTTCTCCCTCTCTCTCTCGGATGATTTACGTTTCCATCCACCTCACTTAACGTGGCCTCCTGGGCAAAGCTTACTCATTTGCAGATGTCTTTTTCCTTGTATCATTTCCTTCCTTCTCTAAAGAGCAGATTTCCATCTGGGTGTCTGGTAAGAGGGAAAAGGGAAAATAGTTCCTGGACTGGGTGGTTTTGGAAGTTAAGAGCTCCCTCCTCTATATTGTCAATCTTCAGACCTAAAGGACATCACTCTTCTCCCTTCACACAATTGGTGATAAGCACCAGTGTTGTTATGACAAGGAAAAAAGGGTGGTTTCTAATTTTGGCAGAAAGAATGAAGACTGACCTTGTCAACAAAATGCTTATCAGGGAGTTTTAAACTCTTTTGTCAAAGATCTGACTTCCCAACTAGAGGGCTGCCCTCACCCTCCTCTAGTAAATCTGCTGATATTTTCACTTGTTGATACATTTTCCTAAAGTGCTGTGCCATGATTTTCCCCTTGATTGTCTCTTGGAGATACTTAGTATATTTTTCCTGAGTGAAGGATGAAACCCCTGAGGCCTGGAAGCAAGAGTTTAAGTAAATTACTCTAAAAGACTCTTCCCTGGCTTACTGTGGCCCACCGATGCCTCACCGCTGAAAGCAGCTTCCCATGAAACTCAGGGATGGTTGGATGGGAGACAACCAGAATGCCATCAGGCCACTCTGCTTCTGGAGCTCAGGCCGTAAAAGAAGAAGTGGTCTCACTGCTAGCCTGGGCAAATAGATTCCAGGGCATGGGAGGAGGCACATGACTTTCTGGTAGCCATACGAATTTTGGAATACAAGAGCATTCCAAAAAAAAAAAAGGAATATTCTTTATTCCAAAGCAAAACCAGTTGTTGGAACTGGTTTGCTCCCAGATTTTCAGAACAGCATCTACCCAGACCCCAGGTAGATGGTTGGAGGGGGTGGTTTGGGGCAGAGTGACTCCTGCATTACCTGAGTTACCTGGGCCAAGTGTACAGGTCTGCAGGCCACTAACCCCCAATCTAAGTTAGTGAAATGTCTTAAACCATCTGTGATCCCTTGCCAGAGCCACTGGGTGTCCAGGATACAGCTGCAGAGTGGCTTGTTGGGAAGGTTATGCCTGTCTCTTTATCTAGGTGGCATGCCCCATCTCTGGGTCCTGCCCCAACCCCTCACCCTGCCTGCCTTCTGCATCTGTCACTCTGTGTTATGGTTGTCTGTCTCCCTTACCACATGATAACTGGCTTTAGTGCAGGAAACCTGTGTGTGTTTATCTCTGTGTCCGTGGTGTTTAAAACAGAACCTGGCATCTGGTAGGAACCCAAAATATGTTCCCTGATAGAATGAGGGAACAAACCATTGTCCTGCAGCAGAAAAGCAGCAGGTGTCACTGTCCCCATGAACTCAGAAGGGTTCAGCCAGAGCTCTTCCTGAATTTTAGAAAGACCTGGGACCTGGTAGCAGGTCCATGTGCCGCATGGGATGAAGTCAGTAGGAGCTGGTGGGAGGCCGGAAGGAGGAGAAGGAGAGAAATAAACAGGGGTAGCAGAGAAGTCCTCAGTTCATCAGGAAAATCTTTATCCATGAGTTCAGTGAGCATTTCTTGTTTTCCTTGGAATTCCAGTTGTAATAAGATGCCGGCGAGTGTTGCAAGTGAGTGATTATTGAGGGTGGGTAAAGGCCTATTAGGGCTTCTCGCAGAAGCAGAAATTATTTCCTCCTGGCTGTCTATCCCAGTTTATCAATAAAACCAACAGTAGGAAGGTGGCTGCTGGGGTAGTGGGAGGCCCCAGGGGAAGCAGTCAGACCATTACTTGGCATAGTCAGGGCTATAGATGCTGGAATCGCTACTGAGCACTTGCCCCCAGTTGGTTCAAATCTTTTCTATGCAAGACTGTTTTTGCAGAGAAGGGAAACTGATAAGAAAAACAGCTCATATTAGGCATTTAGCAAATGAAGAAAGGAAGATGACTTCCAGGTCTCAGCTGATTCAAGATCACCTCTAACACCAGTGCCCGTTCTGCCCTGTTTTTAGGAGTGAAACTTCTTGGTTAAAAGAGATCTGATATTGTATCCTAACACAGAAAACAATGTATGTGGGGTTGCTCTGGCAGAGTGAGGGTAGGATCCAGAGACCCACCCTTGGCCTCAGTCCTCCTCCCTTACCGCCAGCCCCTCTAGCAGGCAGCTGACCCAGGAGCTCGGCTGGAGACCCACTGCCCAATCCTGCCCATTGGCCTCCCTCCCTCCAACTTTTCTTTTATTTTTATAGAGATGGATTCTTGCTATGTTGCCCAGACTGGTCTCAAACTCCTGGCCTCAAGCAGTCCTCCCACCTCGGCCTTCCAAAGTGTTAGGATTACAGGCATGAGCCATCGTGCCCAGCTAGAAATCTTTTCTTGTTAAACCAGTTAATGGGTACCTATGGTTCCTCAGTATTTTTCTTCATGTAGTCTGGTTAACAGACTTTTCCTCCTGTACTTCTCAGGCACTTTAAACTGAGCATGAAATGGTAAACCTACAACCTTGGGAAGACAGCACTTTTTCCAGGGCAGTTGCTATTTGGCTCTGGTTTTTAGAGCTGGGGGTGGAGGGTGGAGAGGAAGAGACTGACATTGAGGAAGAGACAGGAAACCATCGCGGATAGGAGACTTCTGATTGGCGCAGGCGGGTCCTCCAGGGAGCCATCGGCAGTAGGATGTACTTCCCCCTTCTCGGCGCCAACAAGGTCTGTAAATCTCTTTCTACCATGCTGTGTGTCAGCCACAGCCTTTTCTCCAGCAGTGGCTGTGTCATTGGGGATTCACAGAAATGCACACTCAGAGGAGCACAGAGCATTTAGCTTCCAGGACTGTCGTCATTTGTGCAGGTGCAGGACCACCAGCAGTCACACTGTGCTCCTGCTTTGACGATGTAGTGTGGTTATGAAGGAAAGTTCTGTACTTCCACAGCTGAATTCTGAGCTAAAACAATGGAGAACTTAACAGTTTCTTCAGCCAGCCTGACCCTAGACATAGAAGATGATCCTGACTAGATAGAGGACAGAGCCAGATGAAAAAGTGACATGCCTGGACAAACCAGGGCTGGGTCAGTGGCCGAAGGCCAAGGGGGATAACAGAAATAGGCTTGCAATGCAGTTTTGTATGTGCAGGGGCTGAAATTGAAGTGCAACTATAGTTCTCTATGTTTAGCCTAGTTGTTCAATAACTTGCTGAAATTTTATGCTATAATGTGAACTCAATTCTGTTCACCTTATCACAGTGTTACTTTGCAAAGTCATGAGTTAAGAGAAATTCCCCATGTGTGTTGGGAAATGAAAGCAACTGACTGACCATGGATCCCCCCTCATGTGTCCAATGGACAACTCCTTGGGCTTCCTGGGAGAGATGAACCCAGGGAGCAGTTCCAAGGACAAGAGGACTTTATTACACGGCAAGACTTTGGTGCTGGCCTCTTGTGCCATTCTCTGGAACTTTGCTAAATCACGTGGAACAGGAGGCCCTTCTTCAGCATAGACTCTACCAGTCCCGACAGCTTCCTTCCCTGCATCACTGGCAGATTTCTTTTGGGCTTCCCACAATGAGTGGAGGGGAAGAGGCTTAGATCCCCAACCTATAAAGACTAGAGACAGGAGGAGGGGCCAACACCAAGGGAGGGAATGAGGAGACAGTGTGTACCAGAGGCTGCCCTTTCTCAGCTTCCTGCACCTCTCCTTCCTCGTGGGTAAAAGGATGTCCACAGAGACTGATGTTCCAGCTTCTGTGTCTACTGTGGTGGGCGCTCCAGCACTGGGCATGGTTCTGAGGCCAAGCATTTTACAGCAACGCTGTTCCTTCTTGGAGGTAGGGTTCGTCCCAGGGGAGCAGCACATGCTTTTTTTTGTTGATGTTGTGTTATGGAGGGGAGGTCCCTGGCCCAGATGGACTCACCTGAGATTTCTCATCTTTGTCTCAGTGGTGTGGTTTGGTTGAACATGGTCCCTGTGGAATGGCCCAAACTGGAGACTATTGCTGCTTGGACATGCCACACCTATTTGTGCCCACAGAGGGCTCTGGGGGAGAAGGATTTCAATGACTTAGTAGCTGTCCTCATAGGTTCTTCCAATGCCCAAGGGCTCCCAAGGGCCCTCCATAGAAACTGCAGAATCCACAGGATCTGCTGGCCCTGGAGCTTGCGTACACTTGCTCAGACAGAGTGAGTGCAGAAGGCACCATTTACAGGCACGTCTTGTTTTATGGTGCTTTGCTTTATTGTGGTTGGTAGATACTGTGTTTTTTACAAACTGAAGGTTTGTGGCAACCCTGAGTTGAGCAAGTCTATTGGTGCTATTTTTCTAACAGCATGTGCTCACTTCATGTCTCTGTGTCACATTTTGGTGACTCTCCCAATATTTCAAAAGTTGTCATTATTTTTATGTCTGTTATGGTGCTCTGTGATCAGTGGTCTTTGAAGTTACTATTGTAATTGTTTCATGGCACCGCAAACCATGTCCATATAAGACAGGGAACTTAATCAACATGTATGTGTGTTCTGACTGCTCCACCCACCGGCCATTCCATCATCTCTCTTCCTTTCCTTGGGCCTCCCTATTCCCTGAGATACAACACAATTGAAATTAGGGCAATTAATAATTCTATTAATGGCTTCTAAGTGTTCAAGTGAATGGAAGTTGCACCTCTCTGACTTTAAATTAAAAGCTAGAAATAATGAAGCTTAGCACGTCAAAAGTCTAGAGAGGCCAAAAGCTAGGCCTCTTGTGCCAAACAGTCAGGCTGTGAATGTAAAGAAAAAGTTCTTCAAGGAAATTAAAAGTGCTACTCCAGTGAACATACAAATGATAAGAAAGCTGATACAAAGAGGTTTGAGTGGTTTAATAGAAGAGCAAATTAGCCACTACATTCCCTTAAGCCAAAACCTAACCCAGAACAAGGTCCCAACTCTCTTCAAATCTATGAAGCTGAAAGAGGTGAGGAAGCTGAAGAAGAAAAGATGGAAGCTAGCAGAGGTTGGCTCATGGGGTTTAAGGAAAGAAGACATCTTCATAACATGAAAGTACAGGGTGAAGCAGCAAGTGCTGATGTGGAAGCTGCAGCAGTTATTCAGAAGAACTAGCTAAGATATTTGATGAAGGTGGCTACACTAAACAGCATATTTTCAACATATATTAAACACCCTAATTGTATTAGAATAAAATGCCATCTAAAGTGTTCATTGCTATAGAGAAATCAATGTCTGGCTTCAGAGCTTCAAAGGACTGGCTGATTCTCTTGTTAGGGGCTATTGCAACTTGTGACTTTAAGTTGAAGCCAATGCTCATTTACCATTCTGGAAATCCTAGGGCCTTTAAACATCATGCAAAATTGACTCTGCCTATGCTCTATCAATGGAACAACAAAGCCTGGATGATAGCGTATCTGTTTACAGCGTGGTTTACTGAATATTTTAAGTCTACTGGTGAGACCTACTGCTCAGAAAAAAAGATTCCTTTCAAAATATTACAGTTCATTGGCAATATGCCTAGTCACCCAAGAGCTGATGGAGATGTTGTTTTCATGCCAACTAACATAATATTCATTCTGCAGCCCATGGATCAAGGAGTCATTTTGAACTTCAAGTCTTATTATTTAAGAAGTATAGTTTGTAAGGCAAAAGCTGACATAGATAATGACTGATTGATTGATATAGGCAAAGTAAACTGAAAACCTTCTGGAAGGGATTCAGCATTGTAGATGCCATTATGGACATTTGTTTTCACAGTTAAGACATATGAGAGAGAAAAAAAAGAACATTTGTGATTCATAGAAGGAAGTTAAAATATCAGCATTAACAGGAGTTTGGAAGAAGTTGATACCAATCCTCATGGATGACTTTGAGGCTTCAAGACTTTCATGGAGGAAGTAACTGCAGATGTGGAAATAGCAAGAGAACTAGAGTTAGAAGTAGAGACCAAAGATGTGATTGTATTCTTGCAATCTCATGATAAACGTTCAGTGGGTAAGGAGTTGCTTCTTATGCAGGAGCAAAGAAAGTGGTTTCTTGAGATGAAATCTACTCCCAGTGAAGATTCTGCGAACATTGTTGCAATTACAACAAAGGAATTAGAATATTATGTAAACTTAATTGATAAGGCAGCAGCAGGGTTTGAAAGGATTGGCTACAATTTTGGAAGAAGTTCTACTGTGAGTAAAGTGGTATCCAACAGCATCACATGCCACAGAGAACTCTTTCGCGAAAAGAAGAGTCAATCAAAGTGGCAACCTTCATTTTTGTCTTATTTTGAGAAATTGCCACAGCTACCCCAGCCTTCACTAACCACCACTCTAATCGGTCAGCAGCCATCAACATCCAGGCAAGACCCTCCACCAGCAAAAAAATTATGACTTCATCAACACCCAGGCAAGACCCTCCACCAGCAAAAAGATTATGACTCGCTGAAGGCTCAGATGACCATTAGCTTTTTTTTTTTTTTTTTTTTTTTTTGAGACAAAGTCTCGCTCTGTTGCCTAGGCTGGAGTGCAGGGGCATGATCTCGGCTCACTGCAACCTCTGCCTCCTGGGTTCAAGCAATTCTCTGCCTCAGCCTCCCGAGTAGCTGGGATTACAGGCGCCCACGATCACACCTGGCTAATTTTTTTGTATTCTTAGTAGAGACAAAGTTTCACCATCTTGACCAGGCTGGTCTTGAGCTCCTGACCTCATGATCCACCCACCTTGGCCTCCCAAAGTGCTGGGATTACAGGAGTGAGACACTGCACCCGGGTGATCATTAGCATTTTTTAGCAATAAAGTTTTTGTTGTTGTTATTTATTTTTTTAAGAGTCTAAGTCTTGCTCTGTCACCCAGGCTGGAGTGCAGTGGCATGATCATAGCTCACTGCAGCCTTGAACCTCTGGGCTCCCACCTCAGCTTCCTGAGTAGCTAGGACTATAGATGTGCACCACCACGCCTGGCTAATTTTTTTTTTTTTTTTTTTTTTTTTAAGAAACAGCATCTCACTATGTTGCCCAGTCTGTCTCCGACTCCTGGCCTCAAGCGATTCCCTCACTTCAGCTTCCAAATTGCTAGGATTACAGATGTGAGCCGCCACACCTAGGAAGCTTTTTCTAATTAAGATATTTACATTTTTTTAAGATGCAGTGCTACTGTACACTTAAGAGACTACAGCATAGTGTAAACATAACTTTTATATTGCACTGGGAAACTAAAAAACAATTGGTGACTCACTTTATTGTGATACTCTCTTTATTTCAGTGGTGTGGAACTGAACATGCACGATCTCCGAGGTAGGCCTGGGTGGGGATATCTTGCAAGACAGGACTGATCTCCTGTTTAAAGGCATCTCCCAAAACTCCTATTTTTATATTCGGATTGTGCTTTAGACATGTCAGAGATCAACTCGACCTGTCAGAATGAAGACAGGTGTGTTTTTGACCCTGAGCTGAAATGCCTCCTTCCCACTTTTAGGCCCAGAGGATGTGGACTATAAGTGAAGCGATACCCTAACCCTTCGGAGGTGCTGTACCCAGGCCTTTCACCTCTGTGCTCCTCAGTCTTTCTGGGGAGGAATGACATGGCTGCTGAGGCCCCTTCCCCTCAGGCCATCTCTGGCTCTGAAGGCCGAGAGCTTTGGAAGGAAGTTGAGCACCAGGGATCCAGAGCCTGCCTTCCTCGGAGGGGCTCATTGTCCTCCTGCGAAGCCAGATGGTTCACGTGATGGGGAGAGTGGCTGAGAGGATACAAGTGGCACGGGGAGGGGGTGGTCACCAGCCATCTCAACACAAGGGAAAGGCTGCGGGTATTGACTTGTCCTTTCTTTTTCAAATTAACTTTTTGTTTTTAATTATTATGGGTACATAACAGTTGCTTGTATTCATGGGGTACCTGTGATGCTTTGATACAGGCATGCAATGTATAGTGGTCAAGTCAGGGTAATTGGAGTATCCATCACCTGAAGCATTCATCATTTCTGTGTGTTAGGACATTCTAATTTCACTCTTTTAGTTATTTTAAAATATACAATAAATTATTGTTACCTATGGTCACTCTATTGTGGTACTGAATACTAGATCTTACTAATTCTATCTGACTATAGTTTTGTACTCGTTAACCATCCTCACTTATCCCCCCGCCCCACTACTACCCTTCCTAGCCCCTGGCAACCATCATTCTCCTCTATCTCCGTGAGTTCAAGTTTTAAAATTTTTATCTCCACATAAGTGAGAAAATGCAAAATTTGTCTTTCTGTGCCTTGCTTATTTCACTTAACATGACTTGTCTTTTCTCCTTAAAATCTCTCAGAGCCAGAGAACTTCTAAGGATGGCAGGAACCTTAGGGACTGTCTAGTCTAGTGGCCCCAAAACTTAGTAATGTGCCAGAATCATTACCTGTGGGCTTTACGAAGGGGGATTTCTGAGGAAGCAGAGTTCCAGGGATACAGCCTGGTTCTGAGGGCTGAGCCAGTGTGGCTCTGGGCCAGCTGAGCCACTTGGACACCATGGGAGTGAGGTGCTCAAGGGCACAAGTTTTACAGCCAGAGTGGATTTACCACTTGCCAGCTAGAACCTAAGACAAGACACTTAGCCTCAGTGTCCTCATCTGTGAAATAGGGAGAACAGCACTTAACACTTCACAGGGCTGTGAAGATGCTGTGTGGATGATACTTTGTGTGATACTATTTGAGATACTATGCATGATGCTATGTGTGGGATATTAGGTATGAGAGAATATGTGTAACACTGTGTGAGATACTCTGTGTAATACCATATGTGAGATAGATACTAAGTGAGATACTATGTGAAATAGTCTGCGTGATACTATATGTATGATACAGTGTGTGAGATATGATGTGTGATGCTGTGTATGAGATACTCTGTGTAATACTGTGTGTGGTGCCGTGTGTGATGCTGTATGTAAGGTACTCTGTGATACTCTGTGAGATGCTGTGTGTGAGATACTTTGTGTGATGCTGTATGTGAAGTTACTCTGTGATACTGTGTGTGAAATACTCTGTGATACTGTGTGATGCTGTGTGTGAGATACTCTGGGATACTGTGTGTGATGCTATGTTTGAGTTACCCTGTGATACTCTGTGTGATACTGTGTGTGATGTGGTGTATGAGATACTCTGGGATACTGTGTGTGATGTTTTGTTTGAGTTACTCTGTGACACTCTGTGTGATACTGTGTGTGAGATACTCTGGGATACTGTGTGTAATATTCTGTGTGAGATACTCTGTGATACTCAGTGTGATACTGTGTGTGAGATGCTCTGTGATACTCTGTGTGATGCTGTGTGAGATATTCTGTGATACTCTGTGTGATACCCTGTGGGAGATGCTCCGTGATACTGTGTGTGATGCTGTGTGTGAGCTACTCTGTGGTACTCTGTGCAACACCCTGTGTGAGATGCTCTGTGATGCTGTGTGTGATACTCTCTGTGTGATGCTGTGTGTGATACTGTGTGTGATGCTGTGTGTGATACTCTCTGTGTGGTGCTGTGTGTGATGCTGTGTGTGATACTCCGTGGTACTCTGTGCAACACCCCGTGTGAGATGCTCCTTGATGCACCACAGTGTGTGAGCCACTGTGCACCGCGTGTGAAGGGCTGGGCATGGCGTTTGTGCATGGTGAAGGTTGTCATCTGCTGCTGCTCCATGGAAAGCGTGTGGGGGAAGATGCCATCAAGACAGACAGGTGCCCTGGTTGTCCTGCGTTCTGTCCTCAGAGGAAAGTGAGCTGCTGTAAGAAGTCTTATCATGTGAGTCTGGACACAGAGGGAGTGATTTTGTGTTCCCAGAGGAACCCTTGCTCTGGATGTATTGCTTGAGGAAGTGGCCCAGGACTCCCAGTGCTGTCAGCGGAGCCACTGGCAGGGCTCAGGGTTATCTGCCCCTCACCTTCAAATGCTGCCAACACAAATGGATGGCTTGTTACCTGGGACACCAGACTGCATGGTTGATTAAGTGAAACCGGAGCTTTGTGCCCAGGGAGCAGCTGGAGGTGGGAGGCAGGCGGGAGGGAAGGGTTATGTAAATACGGCTGAATAACGGGCTTGTGTGCTGATGAGATAAGGGCCCAGGACCGCAGCCCACTGAGCAGCGCTGTGCTTCCAGGGTGGTCATGGCCCTGTGGGAAAGTCTGGGGCAGGACACTCCTGGCTCGCGGTGAAGGGCGGATTTCCCTGAGGTGTCTGTGGTTGCTGAGATAATGTCTGGTGACAACAGGACTGAAGTGCAGGGACCAGAGTCCACAAGCAGAGAGGCCTCTCTGCCCTGGCCCTGTTCGGTGGAATACGAAGAAAGTCAGACATGAGCTCTCCCCTCGGAGTTTAAAATCCTAATGAAGCTTAAGTCAAGAATTGTAGGTTATCCAAATCCCGTGTAAACGTTTGTGGGAGTCCCCAAACAAGAGCCGGCATTCGCAGGCTTGGAAGTCGCCCTGGGGGAAGAAACAGCGGGGCCCTGGTGCACACTTGCCCCAGGCCGGCGTCTTCACACCAGTGTCTTTCTCTGGGGCTCACTAAGATAGAGGGCATCACCCTCATTTCATGGACGAGGGAATCGAGGCCCAGGGAGATTAAGTAGCCTCTCACGCGTCCGATCCGGGAGACAGAGCCAGGAGTCAAGTCCTGTCTGTCTGAAGTCAGCACCTATGGGAAGGAAGGTGGGCAAGCGGGGGAGAGGGACCGCTGAGCGAGTGATCAGGTCCACTCCTAAGCGCTCCCCCAGTTCCTGACCCCCACGCTCTTGAGCAGTTCGGAGTCACACAGGGATGCTCCCTGAGGCTCAAGCCAGAGCCTGATGTGCGGGCTCAGTTGTATCCCCCAGAATTTACATGTCCTAACCCCCGGCACCTCAGAATGTATTTGGAGATAGTGTCTTCAAACAGGTAATTAAAGTGGGCCCTCATCCAATCTGACTAGGAAATGAGGACACAGACACACATGGGGAAGACCCTGTGAGGACACGGAAGATGGCCGTCTGCAAGCCGCGGACAGGTCTCTGCAGGAACTGAGCCTGCCGGCACCTGCGTCTCAGACTTCCCGCCTCCAGAGTCGCGAGGAAATAAGCTGTGCTTAAGCTGCCCGGTCAGTGGTGCTCGGTTCAGCCTGATCGACTCATACACCAGCTTGCACCAAAAGGCAGGCAGACGACACCTCCTGGGGCTTCTCTCCCCTCTGCCACAGATGCTGACGTTACACTGTTTGGGGGTGGTCTTGGATATGAATGTGACAGGAATTCAGAGGCGTGGAAGCCACTTGGGATCAGAAGCGTGGGAGGAGGCTTTAGAGAGCAGGATGATGAGGACTGAGTTGAGGAGAGAAGAGAGCAAGCCTTCCCGGCGGGGTGTCAGCTTGAGCAAGAACCCCGAGGGGGCCTACGATTGGGGCATGAGAATAAGGGGGTTCGGGCCAGGAGTGTGCAACGATGCCGGGCTGATGGAGTGCCTCAGGAGCTGGTGCTGGTGCGGCTGGGGAAAGCCACGTTTAGGAGCATGGCCCAGCACACAGCAGAGGCTGTTTGAGATCAGAAGCAGCCTCTGAGAGGAGGACTCAGGGGTGTGTGATTGATGAGGGCACAGGTCCCAAGAGGAACCAGCAAGGGATGTTGGAAGTGGGAAGGGAAGGAGGAAGCCAAGCAAGGATTTGCATCCAAAGTTCCAGCTGCAGCGAGCCCACAGAGCAATTTTGGAGTGCAAACCACATCTCAGTTTTGTTTCCGTTCAAGCAAGAGAGCTGGGTTTTTACACTTTGGCACCCATCAGGCATCGGCTAAGGGTCGCCTCGTGGCAGGTGTGGGTGGGATGCAGGTAAACTCTCCAATAGCTCACAAGTAGCATGTATGGGCCACTGCAGGCAAGAGCATGCAAAAGCTGTGTAATGGGCTCACAAACAGTCAGAGGGGTCCTAGGGGACCTGAGCAGAGGACCAGTGGGGTCAGCTACAATCCACCCCCTGCAACTGCTCAGCTATGCTTGCATCTCACACCAAGCTCACTCCTCCTGGTCGGGGCTCCTTCAAGATGGTGGCTTGTCACAAATCCTAAGGAAATACTTAAAGGAGGAAGATTAGTGGGACAAGTTATAGCCTCTGCTGCTGAAATGACTCCTGACACCGTAACTGATATTTATTGTGCCCCGCCTCTGCCGTCGCTGTAGATTCCCTGCCTCCTTCTCCTGCACTTCTGCTGCTCTCCGTGGGTTGCCTGGTGGCCTGACAGACCTTTACCCCCGAGGGGTCTGCACCCCTACTTGCCGTGCTCTCATCAGGCTGTGGTGTTGCACTTGCCCATTCCCAGTCAAAACTAGGTGAGAGAACGCCTAGACACGTCCCTGTGAAATCAGCCCAGTTTTCCAACAAGCCAGATGCCCACAGAACTGAAGCTTGAGAAACTTACATTTGTACAATGAAAGGAATTGGCTGCTGGTTGACCAACTCTTCTTCCTTGTCCCTCCTGATATTTAAATCCCTCACTTTAGTTGAGGGGAGGGGGCACGGCAGGATAGATTTGAGGTTTGGCTCCCATCTCTCCAGCTGATGTCACCTATAAAATAATAAAGCCTTCTTCCCTGGCTTGTCTCAGTGATTAGCTTTCTGTGTAGCAAGCAACAGTAACACCAGTGGATCCCGTGAGTTCCTTCTTAGTGTGGCTCCAGTCCCATCTCTTCATAACAACGTGGGCCAATGATTACCAGGAGATGGTAACTCTTTTATTTACCTGCTGATCTTCTGTACAAAGATGCTCTTCTGTCAGCTTATCATAGGACATGCTGTCAAGTCCATAGGTGCAATCTAAGGTGGACGCCATATCTTTAGGTTTAGTGGGACTCTTACTATGTTCCTGCTCTGGGACTCATGATCTCTAGAATCATAGAACCTAAGTTACAGGGATGAGAAGCACAACTCCCCAAATGGACTACTGGGGATGATAATGAGTGGGACCACTTCTCCCTCCGCCCCTTGGTTCTTGGTTGCTAAAGGAGCCTCCATTCTTTTCCCACTTTCAAATCTATATTCCACACTACTGCTGAAATAATCTATCTAAAGTGTAAATCTGATAATGCCTGTCCCTTTACTTATTGGAAAATAGTAACAGCATCAGACAATGGCCATTGGCTTAAAATATATACCACATCCTGAAAGACCACACACCAGCTTCACAATGTTAGTGCCTCAGCAGCTCCTGCAAGAGCCTGATCCAAGGCCCTCTCAGGCTGGCACCTTCTGGAGAAAGCAGGATGTGTCAGGATCAGTGAATATTGTGGTTTTATGCCCTTTCCTATACCTTCTTTGCCATAAAGTGGATTTCTTGGCCTAAGACGATGTTATATGGGATCTCAAGTTGGTAAATCAGACACTCTGTAGGTCTCTGGTTAGTGGTGCTACTGAGGCACTGAGGGCAGGAAAGGTGAATTCACACCTGGAATGCATGCCAATTTAGAACAGAATGAATCACCGCCCTTTCCCAGGTAGAAGGTGTCTTATGTAATCCATTTGCCACCAAGTGGTTGGTTGGTCTCTTCAGGGATGGTATCATCTGGAGGACTCTTCTGGACACTGATGTTGACAGACTGGACATTCAGTGGCAGTCATTAGATCAGCTTTGTGAGTTGGGGAGAGCCCATGCATGATGTTGGGCCCTCCATAGCCTCCATCCTTGCCACCATAGCGACTCCATTTATGGGCCCATTGTATAAGCACTAGGGTAGTTGAAGATCAAACTTGTCTGATACCCATGGGCTGAATGTGCCAGTCCATTTGGTTGCCTAGTGCCTCTTATATATTGGATGCTTTTCAGTGGACACTAACATGAAACACCAAGATCCTTACACCTTGTGCCCAGTCCCAGAGGTCCATCTACAGCTCCTTACCCAGATCCCCTTGTGCAAATCTTCCAATATTGCTTCTTCCAGGTCGCTGACCAACCAACCAAACCATTTCCTATTTCCCAGGAGTTCAGGCATATCCTTATCCCAGGCTGTCTCTTTTTCCACCCAGAGTGGCTGACCCATGGCACTGGCCATTGGGAGAATCTCCTCTCACTGCAGGCTTTTGATATCATCCCTCAGTGTGGCTGCGGTAAAGCAATCATCCATTTTAGGCTCTCACTGACATGTAACGCCAATCTGTTTTTGAACCAGGCCTAATTTTTTCCCCTCTTCTGCCAGCTGGTCATAGGACATGCTATTCAAGTCCATAGGTATAAGCTAAGGAGGAAGCATTGGTGCATCAGGGACAATGACCTGGGAGCCAGAGCCACTTGTCTGTGCAGCTTACTCATACCTCTGCACCTGCTTGGGGCCAGTATTTAGATGTAGCACTCTCATTGGATGATGGGCTGCTGTTCCACCCTACCTTATGGCTTGGTGGATCTCACAGTACCCAGCTAATGATGGGCAACTCCATTCACACAGTCACCTGATGTCCCATGATTAGATGCTCTGTCTCTACCCAGGTCCAATAGCATGCTAGGGGCAGTCTTTTGAATGGTGCAAAATTCTCTGAACATAATCGGCCTATTTCTCAAGGCTCTTCCAGTTTCTAACCTTTGGTGGCCTTTGAGCTGTTCTGAGTCTGTCCAGGGACTGCTCATTGAAGCTAACTTGAAGGCCTAATTTTCGCCAAAAAGCAGGCAGAGGCCCCATTCCAGTACTCTAGGGGTCTGTGCTGTGAGTGTCCTATCGGAGATTTCCTGAGGCTCGACATGATATTACTGTCCATCAAAGATACCTTCAGTATGATAAGATCTTCTAGGTTTTGGTGGGTTATATGGCCCAAGTAGCCTGGACCTGTTGCAGGGCTCTGTCTTACTCACTGACCCACTCAAGACTGAGTGCCTTCTGTGTCACCTAATAATGGGCCAGAGAAGTATTTTCAAGTGCCATGTATGCTGCCTATAAACCCTGAAGAATCCTACCAAGCACTGTGCTTCTTTCTTAGCCGTGGGAAGTACAAGCTGCAATAACTTGTCCTTTACCTTGGGCAGTATTTCCTGAAGACAGATAAATTTGGGGAAAATTATATTGATCTTCATTAGTCCCTACTCTACTTGGAGGATGATGATGGCGTTTCAGTTCTGGTATCAGTGTCAGCTCCGACCCATGTCTAATAGTCCTGGAAGGATCTGGCCAGACTCTCTTCCCAGGGCTTGTGATTTTGGCAAATGTTCTCGGATCACATGGGAAAGACTTGGGGGAATGTTTACTATAGATTATTTGTGATGGTATTGCCAAGTCTTTCCTCAGAGAAACCCGGACTCTTCTTCAGTCAGTCGACTCTAGGTGTGTTAAGCATTTTAATCTGAAAATTGAATAAAGGACCAACGCTCAATCTTTTTTATGCAAAGTTGAATACCACCTTAGTCGACTATCCATGTTAGGAGAACACCATGATCTGGTAGCTGCTGGGGCCAAGGGGAAACTTCCCCTGTGTCCACTGAGGGTCCACTGAAAAGCACTGGCAAGGGGCAGGTTAATAGGAGAAAAAGCATACAAATTTATTTCATCATAGTCTTACATGACATGAAGACTTCAAAATGAAGACCCAAAGACACAGGGGAAATTATCCATCTTTAAGCTTATGTTTAGCAAACTATGGACAGCTGTGTAGAAATATGATTGGACAAAAAGGATATGATCCGATGCTAACAGACCCAGTGGGACACCCAGCAAGGCCTGTCTGTCTAGATTCTTCCTGCTGTCTCTGCACAGCATTCCTTCCTTCTTGGGGTGGGGCAGGGCTGTCTCTGGAATGGGGGCGTCTCATGACCTACATTCAAACAAGGTAGGTCAGATAATTTCTTTAAGGCTAGTTTTTACACAGAAAGGCAGGTGGTGGCAGAGGCAGTTAGAGTCATATTTTTAGATTTTATGGCTGGCTTTGGCTGTGGGGAAAAGGGTTCTGGTTTCTATGACCTGCCTTGGGGAAGAGGGGTTCTAGTTTCTCTGTCTAACCTTGGGGGAGAATGAGACTGAGAGGCAGGAGGGCAGGAGAATGTCAGAGGAAAACTTTCGCTTCTGAGGCCTTCATTTTGGGGTATTGCTTTCTGAGCTCCAACATAGCCAACAGCCTTTACGATATGTGTCCACAAGTCACGGCACACTGATGGCTATTCCAGTCTTGTTGTCCTTTAGGGTAATCACATTCAATTTTCATTTGAGATTTGAGTGCCTCCTAGCCTCATAATTCTATGATCCCATTATGCTTACTGATATTAGGGAGTCCATTTCTATGACATCATCTTTAACTGTCAACTCTGCTCTAAAATGGACAATCATCCCTGCCTCCAGAACTATAAGAAATAAATTTGTTTTTTCATATATCTAAAAAGGTACCATCTTCAGGCTTGTGAGATATCAGTACAGCCATCACCAGTGCATTCCTTATGATCTTGGAGAAGGGTGTGTCTTCTAGTCTCCCCTGGGGAAATAGACAAGAGTGCTTTCTCACGTCCAACTTGGTAAATCCACTCTAACAACCTTATCTGTCTGAGCTGATTGCACTTTCCTTGATGGTATGATAAGGATGGTGGTAGCTCTGCCTCATTTCATGTACATTTCCTTTATGTCAGATCTTCAAGGAGGCATCTCAACAGACTTGTGGGACTGGCTCCAGGTGTTTTGGTTAGAACATTGGATCCCAAGTTACGTGGGAGGTCTCCCATGTCAATCAGTCCTCCCCTATCCAGCCTGATGTTCTCCTTGCTCTGATTTGAAACCCCTCGACATCTATTTTCACATATTTCCCCAGGTCTTGGTAGTATTTATCAGCTAGGACTACAATTCCCTTGGCATGTAAACTTTACTCTGGAGCAAGGGCTCTATTTTTCCATTCAGGTGGTGTTGAGACCTTGCCCAAGTTTTGGTACTGGAATCAATGATGGGAGGCAGAAGGGAATCTTAAGGAGGGCCAGCATCATCATGCAAGGTTGCCTGAGGCCACCTGCCTCAGGCAAGACCTCTCGCTGCTCAGTTCCAGGCACAGGGGCACTCTTCTCATTTGCAAAGGAGGATGAGGCTGCTTCTGGCAGCGCACTGGGTTTTGTACAATACAGGGACTTGAAATTCTTAGGCTTGTCCAATCAAATATTCTTGTTACAGTCTCAGGGTTTCACTTTTTTTTTTTTTTTCCTCATCAGGGCCCTGACTTTGGCATAGAAAACCTATGAAGATGCAGATTAGTCTTCCCTACAGCTCTCACAGCTCTGCCATGCTGAGGCTTTGACCCTGGACCTGCTGTTCACTCCAGTCTGCCCCATGGCCGCAGGAGACAAATGTCTCCTTAAACGCTGCCGTTGAGGTCTTGTGACTTTCACAGTGTACCAGTGGGCCTGAGTTTGTTATTTTTTAAAAAGGATTCCAATGCAGTTAAAAGCAGTCAGCTTCCTCTACAATTCTTATGGTTTTAATTTAAGTATATTTACATAGGGCTTACTAGGCTTCAGGCTGTGGTTCATGGGATATACAAACATTAAATCATTTATTTCTCACAACTCCATCAGGGAGATTCTCTTTTCACCCCTTACGACAAATGAGGAAACTGAGCTACAGAGAGTTTGCGAATTTCCTCCACATTCCACAGCTGCTCAATGGCAGAGCTGGGATTTGAACCCAATAAGTTCAGCACCAGGGTCCATACTCTGTCCTCCCCTTCAAAAGGAGCCACCTATTATGTCATCCATTAAAATAGTTTTATTTTATTTTATTTCAGTTGTTGCTAGCCCCGAGTCTTCAGCGAATGAGGGCCATCATCATCTTCTAATGGAAGAGGTAGGAGAGAGAGACAGAGACAAGAGTTGTTTCATAACATGGGTCTTGCCTAGAAAATAGGGGCAATACTACAATGCATCTGGCCCCACTGAGCAAGTCTGTCATGAAATGGAGCACACAGCAAATTGGGTTTAATGTAAAAGGATCAATACCTCCACCTCTCTTCACTTGAACACTAGGTCCCACAGCTAGCGGTTGATAGATGCATTTCATCACCTGATAGATGCATTTCAAGGTTTTTCTTTGTTTTGTGTCTTTTAAAAGTCACAGGCTAAGATCCCTCTCACATGTGAGAAAAATGCAAGCTGCTATGGATTGAATTGTTTCTACTCAAGAATTATATGTTAATGAACCTCAGATTGTGACCTTGTTTGGAGGCAGGGTCATAACAGAGGTAATCAAGTTAAAATGAGGTCATCAGAGCGGGCCCTAATCAAATATGATAGATGTCCACATCAGAAGGGGAAATTTGGACACAGAGACACACACACAGGGAGTACACCACATGAAGATGAAGGCAGAGATTGAGTGATACATCGTCAAGCTAAGGAACACGAAAGACTGCTAGCAAACCACAAGGAGCAAGGGGTGCGGCGTGGAGCAGATTCTCTCTCACAGGCCTCAGGAGGAACCAGCTCTGCTGATGCCTTGATTTTGGACTTCTAGCCTCCAGATGAAATGTATGAGACAATAGATTTCTGTTGTTTAAGCCTCCTGGTCTATGGTACTGTGTTACAGCAGCCCAAGCAAACAAATACACATACAGACACATCTTAAATGTCCATGAGAAGTGGATATTTACATATCATGGGGAAGTGGATATTTACATATCTGTGTAAATATCTATGTCTTCCTATTTTCTTAGTCTCTTTTCTCTCTTATTTTCATTTTCCCTGTTTTCTACACATGTGCTCTCTGACTCTTGCAATCTCTCTGCACCACTAACCCTTGCCATGCAGCGTTTCCTATTCTTGGTTGCATGTGGGATTGTCTGTTTCAAGTGCATTTAGGATCCAGGGAGCCATCTCACTTTAGGGACAGATGACTAATCCTTCAGCTCAGTTAACACATTGCCCGACTTTAAAGAAACACAACAATGACAGATGCTAACGCGACCACTGGGGCAGGACATGTTTTGAAGTGTGGGTAAAACAAAATGAAACAAAACCTGTATCAACTCGGCCCTTTCGATTTTCGGAGCTGCTGTCTGACTTGGAGTTGTACTATTTGTGAGAGGCTTTGAGCCCACTCACAATGCAGCATGGCTCTGTGCATCTCACCGGGCCCTCCTTCAGCTCTCTCCTGAAGTAGGCAAGGTGAAGAAAAACACGGAGAGCCTCTGCCTGTGATCCTGCCTGCTCCAGAGCCACCCCCACTGTGGATTCCCCAAGGAGAGGAAAGCGGGTCAGAATGTGAGCCCAGAGTCAGCTTTCAGGGTTCCAGCCTGGTTCCACCACTCACCACTGTGGGATTTTTTTGTTTGGGAGTGGGGGGCATCTCAGTTTGCTCGTCTGTGAAATGGAGACAACAGTGGACCTCATAAGATGGTTCTGGGCATGAATTGAGATGAGATTTGTAAGTCACTTAGAACATGACCTGGAAGACAGGAGCAGCTAAAAGAAAACTATGTGATCTGTTATTCTCAGCTCTGACATGGGGGAGGACTCATTTTCCACCAACTCTCCACAACAGGAAGGGCAAGGAAGCGCAGCCTGTGCCCAGAGGAGAGGGAAGGGGAGGGTGGCAGACCCGGGGTCCACCTCCTGGCCATAGGAGCAGGGCATGCTTTGGGTCATCAGTGCCGACAGGCAGAAACGTCTCTTGGATATGAGTAGGGTGCTGCCATCAATCAAGTTTCTCTGAAAGAGGTTGGTGCTTGCCACCAAGAACTTGCTCTGCAAGCATGGGCTCTCCTCCCGGTTCTCACCGTGGAAGCCATGCCCTGGGCTGATGGACTTGCTTTGCAATCCCTGCTGGTAGCAGGCAGCAGGCAAGCCTGGATAGCCTTGTCGCAGTCCCACTGCCCCCAGGCCTACAAGAAAAAACCCAGTAGCCACTACTGATCTCGGGGCTGTTTATTCCCAACTGGGCTCACTGATACCCAGAATTACAAGAGGCGGATGGAAAAAGTCTTGTCCTGAGTCTCAAAGTGATGCTGAGACCTCTTCTTCCCCCTATTTCTCTGACCTTGCTTGGGCAAGTTTCTGTCCCATCCCATTTTGTGTCTAACTTTAGCTTTATTTTGATTCTGGCAAATACATTTGCAAGGAATAGTGATTTACGATAAGAATTCCTTTTCTCCCTGGCATAGTAAACATGTAACCGGAGATGGTTATACCAGTGCATCAGTCAATTGCTCTGGTTGAGCTGGGAGGAAGGGCTGCATGGATATTCAGAAGGCTTAGAAGAGTGTGCAGGCAATAAACACCATCTCTGAGTCACAAAACACTGAGTACTAGGGAGGCATTTTGAACTCCTCTCTGTCCCTCCAGAGGATAGGGGAAGGCAGAACCATCACTATGTTGGCAGCCTTAGATTTTAGATTTTATTGCTTGATGGTGGCCGGTGTCAACTCTGCTTCTCAGAGTAAGTCTTCATACTGAATGGACAGTGAACACCTGAAAATGAGTGTTCTTATAAAATTGTCAGCTTGTAACATTTCCTGGCCCCCCATGCAACTACAGGCTCTGATATCTGGGACCATACTGACTGTCCAACCACGAACTTAGCCCTCTGAGTTTCTAAGACACCCTGATTAGCAGGTGGGCTCTGTGCTACATCTCTGCAGCAGCTGAGGTCTCATCTGCTTGTTGAGACTCCAGTCTCACACTTGGTCTCAGGACAACAAGCTCCCCTATATGCAAATGGCCCTACATGCTCCCAATGGGGTCTTGATTCCCTGATTTGCAATCCACATTCAATAACAGTAGCAAACATTTCCTGTGCACACATTGTGTGCCAGATATTGTTTGCTCCATACAAAGATGAATCAGACACAGATGCTATCCCCAAGGTGTACCTATTCTAGCTGGGGAGATAGATGGGTACATGGATGATTCCATTGCAGGGTAATAGAAGAAGAGGTGAGAACAGGACACTGCAGGAGCCTTCATTGTGACCCTAACCTAGATATGGGGGAAGGGTAGTAATCCAGAGAGGAGTTCCCAGAGGAAGTGAAACCCTCCCACACTATTCCTGCCACAGAAGCCCTGATTCAAATCTTGTCCAGATTAGCTGGGCACAGTGGCTCACACCTATAATCCCAGCACTTTAGGAGGCTGAGATAGTGGAAGGATCATTGAGCCTAGGAGTTTGAGATCAGCCTGGGCAACATAGTGAGACTCTATCTCTACAAAAAATTTAAAACATTAGCCAGCATGGTGGCATGCACCTGTGGTCTCAGCTACTTGGAAGGTTAAGGCGGGAGGATCACTTGAGTGTAGGAGGTCAAGGCTGCAGTGAGCCTTGATTACACCACTGCACTCCAGCCTGGGTGACAGAGTGAGACCCTGTCTCTAAAACAATAAAATAAAAACTGTTCCCCAGAGGCTGCTTCCTGTTCCGTTTCTGCTGCAGACGGCTGGGCCTTGCTCTTGATCAACAGCCCACGTAGACCTAAGATGCACCATTGCATGTGCCCTGCCTAGTACTGCTGGGGCTGGGCTGCAACCCCACACACAGCCACCAGCAGGGCCAGTTGGGAGCCTGGCCCACAGGTGCTTGTGGCTCTGGGTCCTTCCCTAGTAGCTTTGCTGGGATCCTCCTAACCAAGTGCATTTAAATGAAGGTAGGATCTTTTGTAAATTGTGGGTTCACCCCCATTCTCACTACACTCAAAGAATTCTACATCATTCCTGGTAATACAGATTTCTGTAATATATCTTAACTATTTTGGCCACTCCGTTCGGCACCGATGATGTCATATTGGTATTGTTCTACTCTTGACTTGCAGTGGGCTGGTTTTTGAGTATCTAGTATATGCTTCCAAGTGCTACAAAAACAGATTCTCAGGAGGCAAAGAGGAACAGCCTTGGCTGGCTGAGGGGATGGATGGTCCTCTTGCTGCCTTTGAAAAAACCTGTCCTTAAGAGCTCTTAGCCTGCCTGCTGGGGAAGTGTGGTGGCCCAGCCATCCTGACTATGGTATGGCCAGATGTTTTTTGAGAACAAAGGGATGTGGATTTTGGTGCAATTTCAGTAGGTTAGAAGTACAGAATTAAAATACCTAATTGAAAAATCAAACAAATGAATCTTTTTCTTTGATAAGAACCCATTCATGACAATTGTGACTTCTGTGTAATGCTCTATTCTTTCATTACTTTAATTCTTCACCAAACTGAGACTTGATCTGTTTAACCCACTTGGAAATTGAATCACGGCTTGCCTTGCAGTACTTTTTCCATTTATAAACTTTGTCTCTGTAATAGATGATTGAGGCCTTGAGGACTGTGTCCTGCTTCTTTTTATTAGCCTTTTCCCACTCCAGCCATCCTTTCCTAGAACTTTGCTAAGCTCATTTGAACCTTGCTCACTAGGCACTGGATTATAGATGTCACTGTTTTTTCATCTAAATTTTTTTTTTTAAAGTGAGTATATTAGTCTGTTCTCATGCTGCTATGAAGCAGCATATCTGAGATTGGGTACCTGAGACTGAGTAATTTATAAAGAGGTTTGACTCACAGTTCCACATGGCTGGAGAGGCCTCAGGAAACTTAGAGTCATGGCGGAAGGGAAAGCAAACACATCCCTCTTCACATGACAGCAGGAGAGAGAAGTGCAGAGTGAAGGGTGAAAAGCCCCTTATAAAACCATCAGCTCTCGTGAGAACTCACTATCATGAGAACAGCATGGTGGGGGACAGCCCCCATGATCTAATTACCTCCCACAAGGTTTCTCCTCCAACATGCAGGGATTACAATTCAGATTACAATTCAAAATGAGACTTGGGTGGGGACACAGAGCCAGACCATATCATTCTGCCCCTGGCCCCTCCCAAATCTCATCCTTCTCACATTTCAAAACACAATTATGCCTTCCCACCATATCCCCAAAGTCTTAACTCATTTTGGCATTAACCCAAAAGTCCAAATCCAAAGTCTTTCATCTGAGGCAAGGCAAGTCCCTTCCACCTAGGAGCCTGTAAAATCAAAAGCAAGTTAGTTACTTCCTAGATACAATGATGGTACAGGCATTGGGTAAATACACCCATTCCAAATGGGAGAAATTGGCCAAAACAAAGGGACTACAGGCCCTACGCAAGTTTGAAATTCAATGAGGCAGTAATTAAATCTTAAAGCTCTGAAATAATCTCCTTTGACTCCATGTCTCACATCCAGGTCATGCTGATGCAAGAGGTGGGATCCCATGGCCTTGTGCAGCTCCACCCCTGTGGTTTTGCAGGCTACAGCCCCCATCCCTGCTGCTTTCATGGACTGGTGTTGAGTGTGTGTGGCTTTTCCAGGTGCACAGCCTAAGCAATAGGTGGATCTACCATTCTGGAGTTTAGAGGATGGTGGCCCTCTTCTCACAGCTCCCACAGGCAGTGCCCCAGTGGGGACTCTGTGGGGGCTCTGACCCCACATTTCTCTTCTGCACTGCCCTAGCAGAGGTTCTCCATGAGGGCTCTGCCCCTGAAGCAAACTTCTGCCTGGACATCCAAGCATTTCCATACATCCTCTGAAATCTAGGCAGAGGTTCCCAAACCTCAATTCTGGACTTCTGTGCACCTGCAGGCTCAACACCACATGAAAGCTGCCAAGGCTTGGGGCTTGCACCCTCTAAAGCCACATCCTGAACTGTACCTTGGCCCATTTTAGCCACAGCTGGAGCTGACTGGGAGGCAGGGCACCAAGTCCCTAGGTTGCACACAGCAGGGTGGCCCTGAGCCCAGCCCACAAAACCATTTTTTCCTCATAGGCCTCTGGGCCTGTGATTTGAGGTGCTGCCTCAAAGGTCTCTGACATGCCCTGGAGACATTTTCCCCATTGTCTTGGTGATTAACATTTGGCTCCTTGTTACTTATGCAAATTTCTGCAGCTGTCTTGACTTTTTCCCCAGAAAACAGGTTTTTCTTTTCTGTTGCATCATCAGGCTGCAAATTTTCCAACTTTTATGCTCTTCCTCATCTTGAATGCTTTGCTGCTTAGAAATTTCTTCCACTAGATACCCTAAATCATCTCTCTCAAGTTCAAAGTTTCACAGATCTCTAAGGCAGGGGCAAAATAAAGCATATTCCAGTTCCCAACAAGTTCCTCATCTCCATCTGAGACCTGGACTTCATTGTCCATATCACTATAAGCATTTTGGTCAAAGCCATTCAACAAGTCTCTAGGAAGTTCCAAACTTTCCCACATTTTCCTGTCTTCTTCTAAGCCCTCCAAATTCTTCCAACCTCTGCCTATTGCCCAGTTCCAAAGTTGCTTCCACATTTTTGGGTATCCTTATAGCAGCACCCCACTACCTCCTGGTTCCAATTAACTGTATTAGTCCATTCTCATGCTGCTATAAGGAACTGCCCAAGACTGGGTAATTTATCAAGGAAAGAGGTTTAATTGACTCACAGTTCCTCATGGCTGGGGAAGCCCCAGGAAACTTACAATCATGGCAGAAGGGGAAGCAAACTTGTCCTTCTTCATATGGCGGCAGAAGAGTCAAGTGCAGAGTGAAGGGGGAAAAGCCCTTGTAAAACCATCAGATTTCATGAGAACTCACTCACTATAGCAAGAACAGCATGGGGGGACCACCCCCATGATCTAATCATCTCCCACAAGGTCCCTCCCCTAACACATGGGGATTACAATTCAAGATGAGATTTTGGTGGGGGACACAGAGACAGACCATATCAGTGAATTACATTTTCAGTTTGAGTCATCTTTTAGGTAGTCCATTTTTGAAACTTATGTAATAGCAGTGAACTATCCTAGGGGGACACTTTTCCCTTTTGTCCTGATGTTTGAGTGTGCTTTTAGAAGTTTCTAGAAGACAAATTAAGAGACTTTTGGGACCTGCCACCTCCGGTAACTGTGAATTGTAAAACGTGTGCAAAGAATAAGAATGCCAGCAGAAGAGAGCCGCTGGAATGAGAGGAGCAGGCTCTCCTCATCTTCCATGTGAGGGCACAATTTTCTCTGGGAGGTGAGAAGTTTGGTAGGTTTCCCTGTTCAGGAAATTGATGCCCAGCTGAAACCAGTCTCTGGGCAGGAAATGGTCTCATTTGGCTGTGAGGAGGTGGGAATGTGAACGATTTAAGAAGCTGACTTAGCTTGGACTCCAGTGGAAGTGATCTCACCTATTCATATCATTCTGTCTCCACTTCCTCATTCCAAGGCACCACCTCTGCCTGGATGTCCCAGTGAAGTCCACCACCTAACCTATTTTTCTAGCGATTCTGACCCCAATTGGTATATTGCTATTCAATTTTGGCACTAACTTCCTGGAGTTAGAACAGACCCCAAAGATTAAAGAACATGACCCACAACAACAATACCCCTACTTCTGACTGACCAACCAAAAATCTAGGGGTGCCCATGGTCTTCCTCAGGTTCAATAACTCACTAGAACAACTCACAGAACTTGGGCAAATGCTATACCTTTGATTACAGCTTTATTATTAAAGCTCTCTCCCTCCCTGGAGGATGGGAAGTCAGACTGATATTCCATGTCTCAAAGTCCCAGCCCTCTTATCACATGGTTGGTCTTTCTAGCATGACCAGCCCCATCCTGAGGCTATCTAGGAACCACCATGGTCCACTTCATTAGCATAAAGTCAGGTGTGGTCCAATCCAGGGCCTCTTGAAAAACAAAGACACTCCTACTATGTGGGAAATTCCAAGGATTTAGATTTGCCCTCCCAGGAGCCTGGGACAAAGGCCAGTCATTAAACAAAAATTATTATTATACAACATTGCCTCTTAGCATTCCTGTTTTATTTTTCAGATTATCTATTTATTTATGTAACAGAAATGGTGTCTTTCTGTGTTGTCCAGGCTGGTCTTGAATCCCTGGGCTCAAGCAATACTCCCGCCTTGGCCTCCCAAAGTGCTGGTATTATAGGCATGAGCCACTGTGCCTGACCTATATTTTAGATTCTAATTCATGCATTAGCTTGGGAAAGTAATGATATTCTTTAAAGAAGGAAGCAACCAGAGCTGTTCTCCACCTCCTGAATCACTCAGGGCATAGAGCTCCAAGACACGGGTGGCGTTACTGAAATAAAGCATTGTAGTTCACTTGTGCTATGTGGACCTTGTGGGGTGGTACCACTCTGTTCCTCAGGCTCATGTGGCAGCCTCATCAGGAACATGGTCAGTCACAATGGCAGAGGGAAAAAGGATCATGGCAAAGCGAGTACAGGCCCTTGAGGCTCTGCCAGAAGTAACAGACATCACTTTCAATCACATCTCAAAGGAAGGCTTGTGTCAAAGGACAGTTAGAACCCAATCTAAGATGTAGAAAGTTGAATAGCATTAGCAGTCACATAGGTTGACAGGAAAGAGACAAGGATGGAAGCTGCTGTTACTGTCTTGGTGAGAAAGGAGTAATGAAGAGACAGGAGTAAAGGAGAGCAGGGATCTGAGAGGCAGAGCTCAGGCAAATGTGATGTTATTTGGGGAGAAATTACATGAGGAGGTGAGGGGAAGGAGAAACTAGAGGTTCCTTAGGGTCTAGCTTGGGTAAGATGGGGGTGCTGGCACCCAGGAAGCAAGGAGGAGTAAATGGAATGTTCTCTGCTTTGCAGGATGGTGCTGGTGGCAATTTTCACTTCCCAGGCCCCTAGCCAGTAGTAGAATATAGAGAAAAGATGAGGTTTCTTCATTTCATAAACAATCAACTAATCAATAAGCAGGCAGCCCTCTTCCTCTGAATGTCCTGCGTTAATTGAAAACCAGAGGACTTTGATCACTGAGGATTGTGTTGCATAACTGGTTTCAATGCACCATTGTTTTCCTCCCTGGTTTTTTTCCATGATGGAAATGATTTGTTTGCCACACTGGGCAGGAGATCATATTTAAATGTTTCTTGGGTTTGATCTCCAAACAGGGGATTAACTAATGCTTGTGCTAAGGTGCAGAGTAGTGGTAAACAGATTTAATAAACTCTAAGTATGTAAGCTGCTGTTGAGGGCAGGGGTAGTCTAAGATGTGGGCACCTGCTGGTTTCCAGCTTGGTCAACACCAGAAAGTGTCACATTTTGTACTTAAAAACTCAGAGGAGTTTGACAGCAGAAGAAGCCAGGGGTGAAGGTGGAGAGGCTGAGAGCCAGGTGTTTCCAACTTAGGTCTGCTTTTGCCATGAACCTGGGCAAGTGATGACAGGTTCTAAAGATCTTCCAAGTGTTCAAGGGCAGAGATGGGGAGGAGGTGGGGGGCCACATTTGCTGAGATTCAGACATTTATGGAGTGCTCCTAAGAAGGGTAATGAACGCCAAGCTACCTGCTCGAGAGAAGGAGATTCACGTTTCCTCTCTTTGCTATGGGAGTGAACAGAGACCATGATTGCTTGCAATAGGAGCCTTCATAACCTCTCTGCCCTTCACCGACGAAAGTGGATTCTATCTTTGCCAGCTCCATTTCTGGGCTTTTACAATTTAGAATCAGGGCAAGGGAGAGAGAGAAAGAGAAATGGAGATTCAAGCAGGCAAGTGGTGGGGAGACAGCTGGGAATTACAGAAGAAGAATCAGAGACTTCCTTGCAGGAGAGAATTAAGAGTAGAGGTTAAATAAAAGAAGCAGAAGAAAATCAGGCACCCACATGGGCTGCCAGGAGGCAAGGCTTTGCTGGGAGCAGAGAGTAAGAGAGAAGTTTTGGAGAATCAGTGAGAGAGCTGGAAAAAGAGGCTTGAGAAAAGTTTTGCTGCATGTTAAACTTCACCCTGTGGTGTGCCTTGATAATCTAAATAGTAATGGAATAGATTTTCATGAACATTTCCAGTAAAACAGACTTTGAGTTGGTGCGTTTTGGAGCCTCTCTGGAACCTGAGATGCTCTGAAGCCTGGATCGCTATGGAAGTAGCCTGCTGGGGGGTGGAGGTTGGCACAGGGGATGCCAGGCAGGTGGTCACCCCCCAGGCCTCAGCTTACCCATCTGTAGCACTGTAAGGACCCTGCCTGTTCCATCCTGTCTTTGCGCTTCTCAGCTCTAGCTTTCTCATTAGGGTGCAAGCTCTTCAAGGCAGGCCTATGTCCTCATCCCCCTGTCCCTCCCACTCCCTGGTGTGCACAAGAGAGGTCAATCGCTCCAGGTCTGTGAGGCAATAGGGTAAGTGTCACGGCCAGCACCACCCCTTCTTCTCCAGGACGGGAACCCTTCAGCCATGTTTCTTTTGAAGCTTTCTTTCCCCCTTTCCCCTTCATGCGTCTCCCCAGATGATGGGCTCACCAACCACATCCTGAGTCCTCTGCACAGGAAAGCAAGAAGGGTTGTTTTCACCCCAGTGCCCTTCCCTTTCCCTTCCCCCACCACCAGCAGCTCAGAAGCCAAAGTCCCCTGGAAATAGGTCTCTGCTTCCTTTGCTAACTCGTGGCTGATGGGCGTGTGTGGCATCCACCCCAGCTTCCTCCTCTGTGCCATTAGTTCTGCAACAGCTGGAAAGCAAGTCTGCGCTTCCCAGCACCTTTGCGCTAGGATTCTGGATGTGATGTGGGTTCTGCCAATCAGATTAGTCCCATTTTTTCTGTCACGAGACTAAATTTGAGGCAGGGTTAAGCTGAGAGACAGAGGCAGGGAGGGACGCACCCATGTAGGGGCAGAGCTCCTAGAAAAAGCATTGCAGTTTTAGCCCTGGCTTCCCGGTGTGACTGGGGCCTCCCTAATTGTAGCAGAAGGCAGGTCCTTCCGCATCCAGCCCTGTGGCGTGGCTTTGGGAAGCGAACCTGCCTCCTAATGATTCCGGGAGTCATGTAATTCCCCATGAGCACTCCCTTTCTGCTTTCAGAAAGACTTGTCTCTCTGCTGCTGAGTCCTGCCTGACACCTACGAGCACCCTGGTTGGGTGGGCAGCTGCAAGAGGCTGGCCCCCCATCCAGAGGAGGCTTTGTGACGAGGTCCTGGCCATGGGCAGGTCTACAGAAGTTGCTGGCGGGGCTTCTGGGGACGAAGAAGCAACCCCAGCTGGCTGCTCAGCTCCTTAACTGTCTGCCATTTGCCCTCTGGGATGTGGTCTCGACACCTCAGCTTGAGTGCTAAGAGGCAAGCAGCAGAGGAGAACGTGGGCTCAGGTGTCCCGGCAGGAAGAAGAGCACCCGGGGCTCTGCGGCTAAGGTGCTGCCGCCCTGCACTTGTGTGGGAGCCCCTTCAGAGGCTGCCTCTCTCTTCTACTTCCCTGATCCCCTCTCCTGCCCAGCACTAGGGAATCTTTGCTCGTTGGGTCTTTTATTTTTAGCTACACGGTTCAATGAAAGCCTTTCTGCTTTCTCTGCATTGATTTTGCAGAACAATCCAAGGGTCGGTCTGATGCTTTTATGGCTCAAATTTCCTGGGGTTTATTTTTCACGAGTAAAAGTAAAAGTTAAAACTCCTGTTTGTACCTTTAGATAACTAGCTTACCGTGGTGTGGACGGGTAGAGAATGAGGGAGACGGAGAGACTTTGGAGTCAGACTGAGTAGTTTTAATCTGGGCTCCATCACTTACTAGCTGTGTGGCGTTGGGGGAGTAAATAAGCCTCTCTGAGCTTCAGTTTCCTCATTTATAGATTAATAATAGCAACAATACTCAGCTCATAACCACTCAGGTTGTTTGTGAAGTTCAAATAAGGTAATGCTTATAAAACTGAGAGGCCAGGTGCGGTGGCTCATGCCTATAATCCCAGCACTTTGGGAGGCTGAGGCGGGCGGGTCACGAGGTCAAGAGATTAAGACCATCTGGCTAACACGGTGAAACCCCGTCTCTACTAAAAATACAAAAATTAGCTGGGTGTGGTGGCGGGCACCTGTAGTTCCAGCTACTCGAGAGGCTGAGGCAGGAGAATCACTTGAACCCAGGAGGTGGAGTTTGTAGCGAGCCAAGATCACGCCACTGCACTCCAGCCTGGCAACAGAGCAAGACTTCGTCTAAAAAAAAAAAAAAAAAAAAAAAAAGACTAGTTCATGATACTTATTAAGAGCTTAATTTTAAAAAAACAAAGCTCTTATTGTAATTACCTTTAGTTTTTTCATTTATAAAGAGGACAAAGAAAATCAGCATACACGCACACTCACTGATATAGAACTGGCTCCAGCGCAGGGAGTTCTATTTTAAGCAGGCCCAAGTGGGCCTTGTCTCTACAAGTCAATAGCAAAATAGAGGGTAAGGGGAGATCTGAATGGTTCTGGGAGCAGCCGGGGAAAGCAGAAACCAGGTTCATTTAGAGAGACGTGGGAGGACGAGCTTCTGTCTCTGGGTGGCCTCTCTTCCTCTCTGGAAACTTCTTCTGCAGCAGATGGGCTATGCAGGATTCCCTCTCACCATGCACAGGCCGCAGCAGGCTGGCCCAGGACTCCCACTTAGTGCAGATTTTATGTCTGTTAAACACACATGACCCTTCTTTGGGACAAAGAAATTCTGGGTTTAATAGAGGCTCATCATCAGGCTAAAAACAATCTGGTGAGGCCACAGTTGGGTGTATGAGGCTCTTCTTGGTCCATGGCAAGGAAGGAAAATTCACTCTGCCCACTGATTATATAGGCCGCAGAATACTAGAGATTTGGGTGGTCTTTTTGTTTTACAAAAGTACAGCAGGCCACTTAGAACAAAAACATGGACTAGTTTAGGACTGGGGAGAAGAAATACATTTTGGTTCGTCTAAATCTCCTAGAATTGTTTTCTCAGCTTCTTCTAGATCCATACTCATTTCAAACTTGATCTCTAGCTTGAGAATTTTTGAAATGTAGCTGAATCATTTGAATCCATCCCCCATGTCGACAATCTGTAACTCAAAACTTACCCATAACACAAATAAGTATTTGCAGAGGGGAGGTTCAAGAATGCTTAAAAGTTTAATTGAAGGCTTCCCTCATTGTTCACAAGTTTGCTTTGGGGTTCACTGAGAAGAATTAACATTTGTGGATAGTGTGGGCATCAGAACTGGACCTCTTTCATACAAGGCTTTGATGCCTCCAGCAACAGAATGGCTGTCTGTAGTCCGCTTGGCTGTGGCTCTGAGTTTGAGGGCTGGCTCCAGGCCTCCTGGGGCTTCCCCATCCCTGCACCTTCCCACTAGCCACTTCCTTTGTGGTTTCCAACGTGTCCTCTCTCAGAGTGCTGCTCAAATCTGTTTTGATTGGGGTGGTCAGTTCACAAGTTAAGAATGTGTACATTTGATCAAAACTTGTTCTGCTCCCATCTTGAAAACTTCTAAGTTCTGATGTCTGTCATTAAGAACTATGTTCATTGTATTTGATAGTACAATAGGAAAATTACAGTTAACAGTTGTTTATTGTAAATTTCAAAGTGACTAGAAGAGAAGAATTATAATGTTCCCATCACAAAGAAAGGATAAATGTCTGAGCTGAGGGATATCCCAATTACCCTGACTTGATCATCACACACGGCATACAGGTATCAGAATCTCACACGTACCCCCAAAATATGCACAACTATTATATATAAATTTAAAAACTATAATAAAAAAGAATTATGTTCATTGAAATTAATTTTGAGGGAATTTTGTCTCTGTTGCCTGACTAAACCTGCTTAGTCAAAATATAGCCTTATCTTTAAATTTCTTTGCCCATGTATGTTCTTCAGTTAATTTTTTTAACCTCATTTCCCTCCACATCACCTTCCCCCTCCTCTGCTAACTTGTCTTACGTGTGCCACCGCCTCCATCTTTCTTCTGACCTTTTAGTGGAGGCATCCTTATGCATTTTGTTTCTCATCTTATATCTGATTTATAAAGAAAACCAGTACGGTCACACCCTCTATGCTTGCCTGAGTTACCACCTAGCAAAGTGATGTATCCCAGAAAAACATCTGAAAGTAAGTTTTCAGGTCCCTTCAAGGATTATTTTGTCTCTAGTTACAGCACATGGATCCAGATAGCAGATGAAATACATTTCTTTTCTTCGTGCTTAAAAACACTAACCGCGGCTGGGCAAGGAGCCTTATGCCTGTAATCCCAGCACTTGGGGAGGCCAAGGCAGGTGGATTGCTTGAGCTCAGGAGTTCAAGACCAGCCTAGGCAACATGGTGAAACCCCTTCTCTACAAAAATTACAAAAATTAGCCGGGCGTGGTGGCAAGAGCCTTGTAGTCCCAGATCCTCTGGAGTCTGAGGTAAGAAGATCGCTTGAGCCTGGGAGGCAGAGGTTGCAGTGAGCTATGGTGGTACCACTGCACTCCAGCCTGGGCAACAGAGACCCTGGCTCAAAAATAAAAACACCAAACAATTCCCAGTGTAAAAAAAATAAAAATAAAAACACCAACTGCATCTTTCTTTATTTGATCTTATAGTCATGCTGACCCTCCGTCTAACTTTTGTCTGTTCTCCACATCCCACATCTCCTAATTTTATTTGTCTAAAAACTTCCCACAGGAACATGAAAACATGAGCTCTCAAGATGTCCATTGGTTTAGGGAGGAGAAGCTGGCTGAGAGGATAGAACATAGATGAAGGTGTAGAGAACAGCACCACTTCCAGACTAAGACTTTGGATTCAGGAAAAAAAAATGTGGGTTCTCCTTCCAATTAGGGGGCATGGCAATGAGTGGGAAATGCGGCTTCTTTAGGGAAGGAGCCAAAGCTTCCTAGCTTTATAGTTTGGATAGAACTAAAATTAAGATTTCAACTGGGGGCAGTAGTACCCAGGTCTTGGACGCTCAGTGCGGCCTCTTTGAGGGCCAGTTTTCCATTGCACACCATGGGAGTGACCACATTTTGATTCGGGGCTTGAGTAGTCATTTCAGACACATTTACCAGGTGTGTGTTGTGGATAAACCATATGGTGTTTAACACAAAGTATAGATGTCCTAGGCCTAGTGCCCCTCAGGGAATAAAAATAATAATAACAATAATAAAAATGAGATGATGAAGCAAGTTCACCCACAATTATATTCCAGAAAGGATATAACCACCAAGACAGAGATCCCAAGAGGGGAAGCGGGTGTTTGGAAATGTGGCAGATCACATCCTTTTGAGGGCAGAAAGGAAGATAATTCTAGAGACCCAAGAAAGCAAGATAGGAAGGATTAGTTTTCCCAGCACAAATTTTGGTAGTTGAGGAATTTATGGGAGCAACAATAAAGCATTTAAAAATCCTGGCTGTATCGTTCAAAATCGTATTACTTGGGTATCTATTCTACAATACATATTTTACTTAATGAAAAAATGAGTATCTCTATAACTGATTTTAATAATAATTAACTACAGGGCTATTTTCAATTCTGCTGCTCAAGATGACGGTTTTGTTAGGTCAGCTTTCTCTCCGCTCCCATTAAGAAGTCATTAATAATTTCTCACTAAATCACAATTATTAATAATTTCTTAATGGCCATGAAAAGAAAGCTGCCCTAAAAGATGTTGTCTTGGGCAACAGAATCGCAAATAGTACTGCAGGTAATTATTAATGAATCAACCCTTTAATCCTTACAGAGATTTAACATTAGCCAGGCTTTATCAAACCACCTTCCCACACTGCAGTGCACGTGAAGATGATTTCAATGGAGTAATTGTTCAGCTCTTCCCTCCCGCTCTTGTGTTCAGGCTGGGGAGCCAGTTACTACATGGCATCAATTCTTTCTAAAGAGTAGTCACTCCCACTCAGAAAGCTGCTAGGATCGTTGGGGCCCTTGGATACTCAGGGGCCACTTGCAGGAAAACAATTTTATTCCAGGAAGATCAGCTTTTCCTGAGGCTTCTCTCAGGGCTTTCCAGGCTGTCCTAACTGGCAGAGTCAGGATTCTGCGCTCCGAAACTTGGACTCTGTCCCATTGAGAATATGGTTAGGAAACCAGACTGCAAGCCCCTGCCGTGGAGTATCCACCTGCTCAGGAGAACCCGTCCCCAGGTGGGGAGGGTGCTGCTCCCACGAATATCACCGTGGGGCTCCAGCGCCATCACCTGCCTCCCTGGCTTGCAAGCCATGCTTCCTCATGGCGGTCTACTCTTTAACAGGTGAAGTCCAAGCTCCTGACAGGTCCTGCATAACATTTGCTTGGAAACCTTTTACCAATGAGTTGGTTCTTTCAGAGCAATAGTGGGAGACAGCAATATTTCTCAGGGAGTAATAAGGATCCTTCAATAGTTCCTTTTTTCCTTCCAAATTAGAGTAGCTTTTAAGAGTCAGTGTATTTAATACAGGGGTCAACCTCCTCTTTTCTTAGTTTGCAAACCACATAATCTTCTCTGTGGCTTTTCACTCATCTGCAGGTCTGGATAAGCAAAGAGGAGCTTCTCGTTTCTAGGGAGTGGGCAATCTCTTTGGACTTGGACCACCAGGGGATGAACCAGCAATGCTGGGGGCTTGGGGTATAAGCAGTGGAGCAGGAAAAACAGAGACAAACAGATGGGCATTAAGGAAGGGGCAAGCAAGAAGGTAGGGAATGCAGTGGCAGCAGCCAGATGACAGGAGGCTGAGGAATGGAAAGTGAGCCTTTTGCAGAGTGCCACCTGCGGAAGCTGCTTCTGGTCTGCACAGAGGTCTGACTCTAGCAGCAAAGGGGATGCCCAGGAGACGGCAGTGCCTGAAAGAGCTCCACACAAAGGGGCAAGAACCTATTCTGGCTGCCTTGGTCCACCTGTGTGTCCTTACACATGGCATTTCCTGAGGGGCTGGAGGCTGGGTGGGTCATGTGTATGAGAAGCTCTACCTTTATTACAGCTGCTTTTCATGGAACCAAGTATTTCCCTACTTAAACTCAGGCAGGGGAAGTTGGGAACAAAGCAGGGTACCTTGGCAGGAGACCTCTCCACCCACCATGCGTGGGCCTGATAAGGACCAGGAACTCCAAGTCAGAAAAGCCCAGGCCCTTCTTAGGAGGGCTGCAAATAGGTCCTGTCCAAGCCCATTCCCTCATCTTTTTACAACCTATGAGCTCCCAAGATAGGAAGAGTGGGCCTCTACAACCAAGCCAAAGAGATTGCCTCAGGGCTCCTGTACCCCTCCCCTGGGCAGGTTTGCCTGCCCAAGGAGGAGGTGGCACTTCTGCTGTGAAGCGAGTGGGCATAGAGACTCTGCCAGGACCTGACAAGTGACCAGCCACCTCTGTCACCACAAGTGCCAACAAAAGCACAAAGGGAACATCCTCTGGGGCTCAGTGGGCGAGGAGCTGCCTGGCACAGAGCAGGTGTGCAGTAATACCTGTGACCTGAACGGATGCAGTGATGGCCGGGCTTGAGGATCAGACTCAAATCACTGGCTGAGAGGATGAGAAGGTCCGGGCCAGCTCAGGGGAGCTCAGGGCAGGTGGCCAGAGCTGGGCCACTGAGACTGGGCTTGCAGTCAGGTCTTCAGATGGAGGGGACTGGGCATGGGCAGTGCTTCAGTGCTGGAGGAGCCAGGCCGAGGGGATTATCACAATCAGCTCCTAACCCGCCTCTTGCCTTCCTTGTCCCTTCTAGCCTCTCTCTCATCGGATGGTGAAGATACTTCCCTAAAGCTCCCATCCGACCACATCATTCCTCTGCTCAGATCCTTTGATGGATGCTTGTAAGAGGAAAGATGGTTCCTGTTTATTCACCAGATAGGGTTCCAGGGGTGATGCCAAGTGCCTGATGGAAAGACGAATGTCAAGGAGCCTGCAGGCCACTCAGCAGCAAGGCAGGAATGCATCGTGGAGGCAGGACCATGACCTCTGTTGGGGAGCAGATGCTGGAGAACAGCTCCGACTCCTCCCAGCACTGATGCTGCCTTCCCACGAGCACCTGTGGATTCCTCCCAGCCTGGCTCCTGCTTTGACTGCAGGATTTGCTCCGTCTCCTCTCCAATGATGCCTCCATCTTTGCTCAGGTCTGAATTCTCATTACCCTTCCCTCCAGCCCCCAGCTCAGACATGATCTCCTTTCTGGCTTCTCCTGAGGTTTAATAGCTGTCCGTCCTCTCCCTGCCCCAGACATTTCCTGATATGACCAGGCAGAACTCCCCAGCTGCTCTTCCAGGAGAGAAGCTCTGTCAATCCATCATGATAACCTCTCAGTGTCTCGCACAGCGTGGGCTTCAATTCATATATGTGGAAATTGGGCAAAAATTGAGAAAGTCCCCGTGGAAAGAGTTGTCTGAGGAGGTGACAAAGGAAGGCTTAATATAATAGAGCTCCCCTTCCCAGGGGTTATGTTACAAGACTCCCCAGTGGATGCATGGAACCTCAGATCGTACCGAACCCTATTGTCTGAGTCTGTTCTTGTTGCTCTAAAGGAATACAGAAGGCTGGCAATTTATAAAGGAAAGTGGCTTCTTTGGCTCATGATTCTGATGGCTGGAAAATGTCAAGATCGGGCATTAGCATCTGGCAAGGACCACGGGCTGCTTCCACTCTCAGTAGAAGGTGAAGGGAGCCAGTGAGTGCAGAAGTTATGCCCGAGAGAGGAGGCAAGGGAGAGAGGGGAGGTGCCAGGCTCTTTTTAACAGCCAGCTCTCAAGGGAACTAACAGAGCAAGAACTCCCCACTCTCTCAGGGGAGGGCATTAATCTATTCCCGAGGGATTCGCCCCCATGACCCAAGCACCTCCCATTAGGCTCCACCTCCAACATTGGGGATCAAATTTCAACATGCAGTTTGCAGGACAAACATCCTAACGATAACGCCTACGGGCCTCTATGTTGCTGTTTCCTCTGCACATACATACCTAATACGAAGTTGAGTTAATAAATTGGGCACAGTAAGAGATTAACAATAACAATAAAATAGAACAATTTATGACAATATATTGTAACAAAAGTTATGTGAATGTGGTTTCTCTTTCTCTCGACATATCTGACCGCACCATACTCACCTGTCTTTGGACCATGGTTCATTCAACTGCAGACTGGGGGGTGCTGCTGTACCTTCCAGGGATATATGGGTCAGATTCACATGGAGCAGGGCCTGAGGGGTGGGAACGGAATTGGTGAAGTGAGAAAGTGTGGCGTTGGGGGCTTTACCTGTGGGGTCTGCCTATTGGATCTGGATGGTCTAGGGCTGGCTCAGCCACGAGCAGGGGCCACCTGACAGCGAGGGCCAGGTACATGGTTTCACCAGCTCATCCAGAATGTTCTCTCAGGTGCCGAGGATACCCTGGGGTCTGAGCTGCCAGGCCCAGGAGAGTCATTTCAGGTGAGGCGTCGTGTCTTGGAACGAAGTCTTGGGAATTTGAGGGGTTTATAAAAGCACATGTATAGAAAGCAGGGAGGCTCTTCTGTGGTGACCCTGAACGAGCACAGTGGGGCTCCCGTGGCTCTGAGGCGCGGCCTAGGTCTCGGGGAAGGCTCGGCGTGTGATTTCTATTAACTGGGAAGGTTTTATCAGGGTGCTTGGAGTCCCTGTAACTGACTTTGCCCAACTTTATAAATCCTTTCTCTAAATACTTCTCTGAGGTTTGGCTTGGCTTGGAGTGTGTGGGAATTAAAAACAATCCGTTTCTCCCCGTCTAGAGTGGGTTCCATTTTCCTCAGCAGCCTTCCAAAGTACCCAAGGAAAGGGGGTGTGGGTTTGTAGGGACTTAATTGGCTCACCTGACCCTTCTGGGCTACAGTTAGACTCGCATGGCTGTGAGGCGGCCTGGTCTGCACACACTGGCTGACACCGACCTCTCAAATGGAAAACCCACTCAGGCAGAGAGACCGTCTCTTTCCAAATCTGAAAACAAGCCTCTGCTATTTCTGTTTAGGATTCCCCAGGTTCTCCGCCCTCACTTCAGAAAGATTTCACTTTTCTCATCAGGACAATTTCCCTTCTTCTTCTCAGAGTGGTCTGACTGGCCCAGAAGAGGCACAGAAGCTGTAGGTTTAAAAACAGGACCCACCTTACACACACTCTGTCTCTCGAGAGGAGCCAGGCAGCTGGGACACCTGACTGAGGCAGCCGGCCATTAGCATAAGGCCTCAGACTGAGTCTGGGCCCACACTCAGGGGAGTGTTTTATCTGCTGGGTGTCATTTGTAAGAGCCCTCATTAGTTGTTCCTAGAAGGTGCGCATTGACAGGACATGGACCAGCTCATTACTACTGCCCTGGAGGCAGCACAAGCTGTTTGTCCCATGGCCTGAACCCCCACCCCATGCTTCTTTTCTCCACTGCTGTCGACGTCAACATCTATACCCCTCAGAGTGCCCCCGTGGCGCCACCAGAGTGCGAGGTAATGAGCAATGGAAAGCGTGTCTCTGGCCCATGTGAGTGCAGTAGCTTGTTGGTGGCAGTTGGCAGGCCATGGTGGCCACCCTGACCCTTCTCCTCCTAGACTTCACTCACTGCTCAGGACTGGGAGCCGAGAGCAGGAGAGAGAAGCAGGCAGGTGTCAATTGCCCAGATCTGGGTGCAGCTCTGACTTATGTACCTTGTGGCTGGAGAGGCTCCTCTTCATCTCTCAGCCTCGGTTTTTTCATCTGCAAAATGTTCAAAATTGCTGGCACATGTGGTTGTATATGAGTAAGTGTGTTCATGAGTGTGAGTGTGTGGGTGTGAGTATGTGTGTGAATGTGAACGTATGGCTGTGTGTCGTAGTCCATTCCGGCAGCTGTAATAAAATGCCTGAAACTGAGTCATTCATAAACAACGTAAATTTATTTCTCACAGTTCTGGAGGCTGGGAGTTTTGGTGTCTGGAGAGGGTCAGGGGTCTCTGATTCCAAGATGGCGCCATGTTGCTGCGGTCCCTGGAAGGGAGGTCGCTGTGTCCTCTTGTTGGGGAATGAACCCACTTCCTTCAGCCCTTTTATAAGGCCTCCAACCCCACGCAGGAGGGCTCTGTCCTGGTAACTTCATCACCTTCCTAAAGACCTCATCTCTTCATTCTGTCACATTGGCTATTAAGTTTCAATGCACCAATCTGGGTGGACACTCAGTCCCATAGCACTGTGTGAGTGTGAGAGCGTGAATATGCGTGTGGCTGAGAGTGTATACGAGGGTGTATGAGTGCGGGTGTGTGTGTGGCTGTGGGAGCGTCAGTGTGTGGTGAGAATCATTTTTTTTTTTTAAGCAGCAAAAGCAGAGATGTATTGAAAATGAAAGTACACTCCACAATGTGGGAGTGGGCTGGAGCATAGGGGCTCAAGGGCCAGTGAGAATCATTTTTGCATCTCTTTCTTGTTCTACCGTTCATGGGGCGTCCTGAGGGCAGACGTGGGATGTCTGCCTCCTTCTCCCAGAATAGAGGTAGCCAGAAGGTGGGAGTGTAGGTGGTGTCTCTGCCCACCTCTCCTGACTGCCCCAGGTCTCTCAGCCTTGAGGAGCGGCTGGCACAGCTTCCCTGACCACGTGACCTTCTCCTGCTCATTCCACCCATGCCCTTCCTCCAAGCCCCCACCCTTCTGACTCACAGGTCCTGCCAGCCACCTGGGCAGCTCCTTGGACCACTCAGCCTCCCTGACTCGCCTTTGCCTGAAATTTCTGGGGTGAAAGGGGCCTTAGGAACTTAGCCCTTGACACTGAACCTGGGCCAAAGCCCCTTCCAAGGGCTGTTCCTTCTGCGCCTGAGCACATCTGGGGTGACAGCTCATCCATTTTGACTGTTGGGCCTGGCTGCCTTGTGAGCTCTGGGTCCCCAGGAAGTCTCCACCTCTCCTCCTGGTTCTGACCAGAGGCCACTGAGCAGAGCAGGAAGATGATCTTCTCAGGACAGCCCTGTGGCTCTCTCCAATCCCTCCTGAACCTCTCCCCCGGACCTGGCACCTGATGCCACAGGCTCAGCCACCTGTGGGCTGCACTGTGCAATCTAACAGTGCTGAGCAGAAGAGACACCTGAGCTTGAAGTTGAGAGGGTCCGAGTTTAAACCCCCAACTCTGCCAGTTTCACCTGCAACCTGGGGACTGAAACCTCCTCACAAACTTCTCAAGAGGACACAGTTAAAAGGCATGTGAATGCAGTTTGTGAAGGATGAACTATTTCACAATCAGATCATAAGACACCTTTCTGACAGTGTACTTCAAATTACTTCCTGAGTGTTCCTTTTGTCTCTGCGATTTTGTTAAGTTGTAAAATTCATATTAATTTAATTGAAATTTAATATTTAAAAATAAGTTTGGCTGGGCACAGTGGCTCACATCTGTAATCCCAGCACTTTGGCAGGTCAAGGCAGGCAGATCACCTGAGGTCAGGAGTTCAAGACCAGCCTGCCCAACATGGCGAAACCCTGTCTCTACTAAAAATATAAAAAATTAGCCGGGCATGGTGGCAGCTGCTGGTAATCCCAGCTACTCGGGAGGCTGAGGCACGAGAATCGCTTGAACCTGGGAGGTGGAGCTTGCAGTGAGCCAAGATCACACCACTGCACTCCAGCCTGGGTGATTAGAGCAAAAGTCTGTCTCAAAAAAAAAAAAGTTTTCTGCTTCTTGTGTGTGCATGGAAGCTGTTGTCCTGGCCCCAGGGCGGGGGCTGGCGCACCTGGCTCCTTTCCCAGGCTGGCCTCCTCTCTCAGTCACTGCTCCCTGGGTCTCCTTGACAAGTCACGTGGCTGACGCTCTTGGTCAGCTCCCCGGAGCCGTCCCCACCCATTTCCCCACTTGCTCATTTCTCACGACAGAGGCTGAGACAGCACCTCGCCTTGCCACTGAGGATGGCACATGAAATGCAAGGCCAGTGTGCCGGGCAGTGAGGAGGACATCGGGACCCCTCTCGGCCTCCTGTCCATTCCACCTTGGAGCCTGGGGAGGAAGGATGGGAAACTGCAGAGGTGCCCACGTCACAGTTACCCAGCCAGGCCTGGGATCTTGCCAGGGATTTTAATTAAGTAAACGATGAATGTTTTCATGGCTTAAACCATGTGGGCCAAAACCAGCCTGGTTTTGCGAATTGTGTTTTATTGGCACACAGCTAGCCTTGTGCTTACATTTCACCAGTGGTGTTTTTGAGCTTCAGGGACAGGCATGAGTTGTTGTGACAGAGGCTGTGTGGCCCACAAAGCCTCAAATATTTATGTTCTAGCCCTTTGCAGAAAAAGCTTGCCATCTCCTGATTTAAATCATCGGCTAGTTGGTTTTTTGGTGACTATCAGCCAAATGCATCCTAACTGGTCCCATAACAGAAAAAGCAACCCCCAAGAGCTCAGCCAAGGAGGTGAAAATACCATCTCCAAGAACATGTGGCGAGAGAGCTTGCGCGCTGGTTGGCTTCGAGGCTCCACCATATTGTTGAGCCCCATCTTCATCCTGCATCTTTGTCATAGGCCCACTGCATGGTCGTAGGGTAAATGCCACAGTGTCAGGACCCCTTATTCTACAAGAACGTTCAGTAGAAGAAGGCGATGATTTCCTGCCAAGCATTTTTTTTTCTTTTTAAATTTAGACCAAAGAGATCTTCCTCAGATGCCTCTTGGGAGACTTCTCCCTTTCCTGTCACAGCCAACAGAGCTGGGCCACATTTCTACCCTTAAACCAGCTGCGGGCACATACAGGTCACTGGCCAGAGGGGTGGCTTCACCATAATTGCCTTGGATGAATTCAGATCCACAATTATGCATTTTACTCTTTTCCTCATGGAGAACTCTTTTATATAGAACTTACAGCCCCAGCCAGTCTAGCAACAAGGAGCAGCCTATCCACATACCATATTCTAAGTATTGACCTGGCACTAGGCTCTGTGCTGGTGACCAAGGAGTTGGAGTCCAGCTGAGTGACAGGGATGCACCCCAGAAGCCGTGGTCCTGACCACCCAGATAAGGACTGGGGATGGTTGGGGATGGGGATACAGAATCCTGGGAGGCATTATGTCTACTGCCATCTTTTTTTTTTTTTTTTTTTTTTTTTTTATCACAAAAGCCACCAAGGTGAGGATGTGGAAGAAATATCTGGGGAAGTCGGGCAAGGAGAAGGCTTCCAGTAATACCTGCAACATCAAACCCCGCCCCTCCCACCAGGCCACTGTGTGTCCTGCCTCAGTAGGAACAATAGCTGACATCCACACGGCATTTGTCATGTGTCAATGCTTTCTCAGTTCTTTGCATGTATTAGCTCATTTAATCCCCCCAATGACCCCAGATGCCAGGCATTATTACCATTCTATTTCACAGAAGAGAAACTGAGGCACAGAGAGTTTAAGTACCTCACTGAAGGACCCCACTGTTCACACTTGGGTGCCACACGTTGGCCCGGGGTCTGGTTGCAGAGGCTGTGTGTGTTCCAGTGTGATACGCGGCCTCTGCTGAGGGATGATGGACTTGAGCGCGTGCCCACAGGAATGCGGCCTGAACGCACTGCTCAGTATCCAACAACGTTACTCGTCTCCATAACACATCATTACGGATCCTGGCCGCACACACTGAGTTAGACCAAGAGCTGGGTGCGAAGCCAAAAACGTCTTCAGTCTACAGACGTGCCTTTTGTGTCTTTAATAAATCTGAGAGAAGGTTGGAATAAGAATTCAGTTCAGCAAAAGTTTATACAACATTTTCTATGTGCCAGGGCCTTCTGTTATGAGCCGAGGTTTCAAAATAAATAAGACACCATTCTGGTCCTGAGTGACCCCTCGGAGTAGTGGGGGAGTCAGACAAGCAGCAGATAACAGCAGTGAAGCAGCGGGTGCTGTGACTCGGTGATGCACCCCAGGGGCTCCAGTAGATGGGGAGGCTTCCTAGAGAGACAACGTTGATTCTGTGCCTTAAACCATGAGTGGGAATCCCATCCCCGAGAAACCTGGAAACTCCTCCAGTTTCTTCTTGCCATGCTCTCAGTCATAGGGATACTATCACCGTCATTTCTGTGTATATGGCCATATGGCTTTGCTGAGCTTTCCCATATGCAGTTCTGATTAAAGGGCATGGATCCTGCGTGGAAAGCAGCATCCTGTTATAGTGATAGACAAGGGCTCCAAGTGACTGCCCAAAAGCATGTGGTTGGTGCTCCAGTCTAAATAGACTCAGAAATCCCTGCTTTTTTTGTTTTGAGATGGAGTCTAGCTCTGTTGCCCAGGCTAGGCTAGAGTGCAGTGGCGTGATCTTGGCTCACTGCAACCTCTGCCTCGCAGGTTCAATCGATTCTCCTGCCTCAGCCTCCCGAGTAGCTGGGATTACAGGCACCCGCCACCACACCCAGCTAATTTTTGTATTTTTAGTAGAGACGAGGTTTCACTGTGCCAGGCTGGTCTCGAATTCCTGGCCTCAGGAGATCGGCCTGCCTCAGCCTCCCAAAGTGCTGAGATTACAACCGTGAGCCACCGCGCCCAGCCTATCCCTGCCTTTCAAACAAATCCTGTTGCACCACCAATGTGATGCATCTTTGCACCCCACCCCTGAGTCCCCAGCAGGGCCCCATTTATCTGCAAAACATTGACTAAGCCCCTGCTGTAAGCATGGCACTGTGTTAGGGACTGGGGATACTGTGGTCTCCCAGACAGGAAAGATTCCTGTGTGCTTCCAGGGAGGGATCAGATTTCAGGGAGCGGGATGGGGTGGAGCGGGGAGGGGGGAGCTCGGTTTGGAGGGAGGCTGGGGCAGCTCCCACTTGAGGAGTTATGGTGATCCACAGTGCCACTGACATCTGTGCACATCCAATAAAGGTGTATCAGATGGATAAATGAGCCACAATACACAGTTGGCAAAGCACTGATGAGCTAAGCCAAGTAGAATAAATACAAGGTCATTTGTCACATTCCATAGATAAAGCAGCTGTGCATCATTTCTTGCATTGAATGAGAGGAGGAAGGCGGCTTACCTTCTCTGATCTGCTTTATGTTCCCTGAAGATGAGATGGAGAATGGGTCTTTTGGGGGGACACACTCATATTGCTATGGGTCAGGTATAGGACATACAGAGATAAATTATAAGTAATCTCTTCCCTTGAGGGGCTCAGGGTCTGGTGCTGGGCGGATGAGAAAGGAATACCCACTGACATCTTCAGTGAATGTGCATTGCCTGCCTGTGGCCCCTCGGGTGCCCTAGCAGCCCAGGTACAGAGTCCCCGTCCTTATGGAGCATGCTTTCCAGGCACTAAGTAGTGGTATGGACCTTGGCCAAGCTGCCCTCACCCCTCGCCTGGATTTACTGCCTCATCTGTCACCCGGCACCGTCTGCAATTGTTCATCATAGTGTCTGTGGTGTTTCCTGTTTCTTGTCTCAACTGTACCAGGATGTAACATCCTGAGAGCATGCATCCCATCTTTCCTGTTATCATTGCATCTGAAAGTGACTGAAATGTAGCAAGAGTGCAATAAATACTTTTTAATAAGCAAATAAGTAAGAGCAAATGTAAAATTACAGCTGGTGATGAACACAATGAAGGAAATAAGCAGGATCATTGGAAGGCAAAATGGGAGGGGAGCCAGTCGGGGAAGTCTACTTGAAGGAGGTGGCATCTGAGTCAGTCCCAGAAGGACAAAGAAGAGATAAATGGCTTGAAATCTGAGGGTGATGAGCACGAAAGTGATCCAGGCAGAAAAACAACTCGATCACCTTCCTAAAGGAAGTTTCTCACCGTCAGAGGAGTGTGAAGGAGGGAATCATTTACTCTGTAGAATAGAAAGAAGGGAGGTCCCTCTCAAAGATGGCACTGGAGCTGGTCCCTGAAGGAAACATAAGATATGGCTAGAGAGGAAGGAAAAGGCATTCCTGGTGGGAGGAATGGCAGAAGCAAAGGCCTGGAGTTCTGAGTAAGAATGCCGTGTTCTAACAGCACACAGCCTGCCTGCACGATGTGGAGGGGCTGTAGAGAGTGAGTAGGAGGGATTCTCCAAAAGGTTTAACTTCTAAGTTAGATTCCTCTGCACAGGTCTGGTGGGAAGAGTTGGTGGTGACAGGCCCTCATGAGCTTTCATCTTTCTGACTCTCTGTGCCCATCACTTCCATGGATGGTTGAGCTTTGGCTGTGTCCCTGAGCTTCTGCATCCTCATCTGTAAAGCGAGGGGGATGCCAGATGGTTTCTAAGCGTGCATCCAGACCTAACACCTGTGATTCTCTCATGACCTGAGTAATATGGTTGGAAAACCAGTTACCCTAGAAAAATCCCTTAGTCTCCATGAAGCTTGTGCCACTGGATGGTTCTTGAGGGGAACTCAATGTAGGCCCCCTGTCGCAGTGTGCTTGTGATGAAAGCTCTTCCTTCTTCCTGGCTGGTCCTGATGGTGGGTGTTCTGAGACATGGCAGACAGCAAGTGCTGGGCATTCTGAGACATGCTGGGGCCTGGGGCTCTTGCCAGGCCCAGGTTTAAGTGACACAATTTCTGATGGCTTCAGAGAGGATATTTGTTAGGCCCTGCCTGCCTAATGGAATACGTCACCATTCTGCAAACAGGATAGCTGGAGCTGAAATATCTTTGGTAAGCAGTGAAAGAGATTACCTGGGTCAAGTTAAGAATAGACTGGTGGAAGGCAAGGAAAGATTGCCCCTTTGAACAATATCACCTTTGTGGGCAGACTAGAGAGCTGGAGAAACTGTATGAATGTTACCCCATGTGACCATGCAGTAAGGCCTAAGAAGTTGTTAGGGTATGTGATTTTCCCAGGTAGAGGGCATGCAATGGTCAAATAGTTTTCCTTGGCTATTCAAAACCCCCAACCAATCAATAAATTTCTGTCTTTTTCCAGGAATGTTGCACATGGTTGTGCAGTGCACAACCTGTATAACCATCCATGGAAACCAGGCTATTCCACAATTAATTTATTCCACAGGGTTTATTTAATTGCTGTGTTGTGCTAGACATGTGCTAGGCCTTGGGGATAAATGGGTGAAATGCAATGGGTCCCAGCGCTCAGGGAAAGACAGAAAGATAGCACCTCCCTATGAGGGCAGTATTGTAGGTGCTTTGATTGAGGGCTCAGGGAGGATGCTGTGGGAGAGTAGAGGAAAAGCCTGTAGCCCAGAATTGGTGGGAATGGAGGAGGAAAAGAGGACAGCTGAGTCAGGAAAGTGTACTTTAAAGAGAGCGGTGCCCATCATTTGCTACTTTCTCTTGGCCCAGAGAACTTAAGTCTTTTTTTAACTGTGCTTTTGTCCTTCGAAACTCTACCACTAAATACTCATTCTTTTTTGTATTTTTTTTAGAGACAGGATCTCACTCTGTTGCCCAGGCTAGAGTGCAGTGGTACAATCATGGCTCACTGCAGCCTCAAACTCCTGGGCTCAAGTGATCCTCCTGCCTCAGCCTCCCAAGTAGCTGGGACTACAGTCATATACCAACATGTCTGGCTAATTTCTGTATTTTTGTAGAGATTCAGGGTCCCCTGAATACTCACTCATTCTTCTAGTAGCATAGCATGGCATTATTCTTGGAAGAGAATGCCTGTCCCTGCAGATGTGGTTGGGGGAGGTGGGGTGGGGGTCACCAGGAGCAGCTCCCACCTGCTGCAGTTGTGCCTGATCAGCCAGCCCCATCTTACATCCATGTTTGGGGAATGGAGCAGTACAGTTTTTCCATCTAACTCCGGAGTCTGACTCCAGTTGCCAGGATTTTAATCTCACCCTGTTTTCTGTGGTAATCTTTGTTTAAACAATGTGTCAAAATGTTTTTTAAACCATGAAAATACTGCACAGTGGCATAGGCTCTTATCCACAGGGTACTACTGATCTGGTAACCAACCAAGACACCAATAAGTAAGCAAAGCGGCTTCCAGGAGCCAGAGCAATTATTATTATCTCTAGGCAGTGACATGAAGACATCCCACTCAGAGGGGCCACGAAGCCCACACTCATGAATGTGTTTACTCCTCACAGAAAATCCCACACTGGAGGCTGGGTTAGGTGGCTCACGCCTAACTCTCAATCTCAGGAGGATTACCTGAGCCCAGGAGTTTGAGACCAGCCTGGTCAACATAGCAAGACCCCGTCTGTAAAAGAAAAAAATAGCTGGGTGTTGTGGCATGCACCTGTAGTCCCAGCTACTCCGGAGGCTGAGGTAGGAGGATCCCTTGAACCCAGGAGGTTGAGGCTGCCGTGAGCTGAGATTGCACCACTGTACTACAGCCTGGGTAACAGGGTAAGTAAGACTCTGTCTGAAAAAACAAAACAAAATGAAACAAAAACAAAAACAAAATCCCACACTGAGTTGTTGGAATTAAACCCAAGAAATGCATGTGACTGAACTAATCATTCTTCCCCAGACCTGCCTCTCTCAGAGACTGACATCTTCTCCACACCTCCACCCTTCATCCTTCCCCATGTCATGTCGATTACAGCCTTCACATGGAAACCAGCCCCATGTCTACTCCCTACAGCACCCCTCTCTCCACTAAGTCACCATGACAGTGACTTTCCCCTCCACCAAGCACTGTGCAGCCTGATAGGGCTTTCTTTCTTTGTTTTTGTTTTTGAGACAGGGTCTCCCTCTGTCACCCAGGCTGGAGTGCAGTGGTGCTATCATAACTCACTGCAGCTTCCAGCTCCTGGGCTCAAGCCATCCTCTTGCCTTAGTCTCCTGAGTAGTTGGGACTACAGGCATGCACCCTCATGCCTGGCTAATTTTAAAAAATTTCTTTGTAGAGATAGTCATGCTATGTTGCCCAGGCTGGTCCTGGCCTCCTGGCCTCAAGTGATTCTCCTACCCCAGCCTCAGGTAAGCCACCTCACCTGGCCCTGATGGGGCTTTCTAAATTGCAAATCTGATCAATTGTTTAAATATATCATACAACGGTTCCTCACTATCCTGAAGATAAAATCCAAATTTCTTCACATGGCTGTACAGGGCCTCCAGCGATCAGGCCTTTGTTTGGCCTGATCTCCAATCTCTTCTCAAATAGTTGCTTCTTACAGCTCTCTGAAGGCATCAGCTCTGTGCATCCCCAAATTTTTGCATGTGCTGCTCCTGGGCTTATATCGTGTGTGCCAGTTGGCAACTCTCTTTTTCCTTTAGGGCTCAGCTGGGAGGCGGCTTCTTTGGGAAGCTTACCCGTCCCTTGCCCAGCTGGGTAAGGTGCTCTAATGTAAGTGCTCCCGTGGCATATTGGGATAATCTCTATGAGGCACTTACCTCTGAGGGCTGTGATTCTTCACTGGGTCTTTTAGCTGCTGAGAGCATGGCTCAGTCTTATTGATCAAATTTGTAGAGCATAACACACAGAAGACATTCAATCAATACATATTAAATGAATGAAGAGATGAGTTTGAATTCCCATGGAAAATGAGAAGAAATACATTCTTAGGGTTTGGGAAGTCTTAGGGTTTGGGAAGTCAAATATGCTGTTAATTAATTAGGAATATTTTTAGCTTAGGTTGACATGAAGCCTCCAGTAGTGGTGGCTTGGGAAAGAACTTAGTTTTTCGTTTTTGTGCAACTCTCGTGGCCTATAACTGCAGAAGCAGTGAGGTCCCAGTGATACTGGAAGAGGAGCCATCTTCCAGAAGCTACGCCTATGGTCTGTTTTGTGTTTAGCCTTCCTGAAAATTCTATGGGTTGTCTAGACCTCTTAATAAATTACTCTTTCTGCTTTAACTAGCTAGTATTGATTCCAGCTGCCTGCAGCCAAGAACTCTGGTAAATACAAACCTTTGTCTGACTCTCACAAAAATCTCAAAGCAATAGTAATGCCTAGTTTTGTGGAAGTAACCACGAAAGCTTAGAAAAGGTGGGTTGGGAAGCAGTTGAGATGCTGAAAGCTGATTTCCAGGAGCAGAACTGGCCTATGCTGAAAACCTACCTGCAGCCTCAACTCTGCTTCTCTCCTGTGTTCAGCTGCTGAATGTTGAAGCCGGAAGGGATAACACGTTTCCGAGTGGAAATGTATGCATTTGATGGAGAGTGCCTGAGGTGCCCAGATTGCACGGCTTCTTTTTTTTTTTTTCTAGAGACAGGGTCTTGCTCTGTCACCCAGGCTGGCATGCAGTGGCGTGATCATAGCTCGCTATAAACTACAACTCCTGGGCTCAAGAGATCCTCCTGCCTCAGCCTCCCAAAAGTGCCGGGATTAGAAGTGTGAGCCACTGTGCCTGGCCCCAGACAGCTTCCTAGCAGCTGAAGTGGGAGGTCAGGGTTATTTCTGTCACTCCGCACTGCCAAGGGCTGACAGAACAAAGAAACAAAGAGGAACTGGAAAGGCTGATCATGGGGCCGAACCATGTCTAACTGGCTTAAATAACAAATCTGTGTAACCACAATTTGCCAACTTGTAAATGTTTTATACCCCAAGGGAGCCTGGAACAGCCTCCTTTGCACTTAGAAGGCCCAGCCAGGCCAGTGCTGACTCTGACTCCTTGGTGGACAGGACCCCAGGGGGTGGGAGGTCAGGGCCAGGCTGGCCAGAGACTGGGCGTCAAACCCGAGAAAGGGTCACACTTTTTTGCTTGTCAGTTTCCCAGCCTTTTCCATTACAGCATTTTTACCTGGGAGGTTTAATGAGCTCTCTTGAGTTTTCCCCTTCCATGGGCTTAACTTAAAATGTCAGTGTCTTAAGAATTTTCCCAGTAGTGGGCCTGGTGCCTTTGGAGGCTGCATTTCCTTTCTCAGGCGTTGGGGGACTGCTGGGTTCTGGGAAGGACTGACAGGTTGAATAGCCCAGTTATTACTGGGTTAAGGGTGACGCAGGCTTCTCAGGGTGCCAGAGTCACTGAAGCAGCAGCAGCAGCTTCCGGGCAGGGCTGTGCAATTCAGGCTGCCTGGGGAAAGGTGCTGTGAGGGATGAGGGGCAAGAACAGCTTTAAAAGTTAATGAGCTCAGCTGAGCTCCCAAGACCCACCCTTCCAGGCGGCTCCGCTTCTCTTTGCATTTCCTTGCCCTCTGAGCACCCAGCTAACCTTTAACCCAGGCTCTTCCAAAGCTCTAGGGAGGAGGCTGCTCCCCTGGCTTCCTCCAGAGCGAGTCTCTGCTCCACGCTCTGGACATTGCTCTGGGAAACCTCCGCTTCCCAGACCAGCCACATCATGGACACGCTTGGAGGGGAGCTCAGTGTTGTTTCCTGCTATTGGTGAGGGCTGGTGCTGGTGTGCACTGTGCAGGCATCAGGACTGGTCATCACTGTCCTTACAACCCCCTGCCTGCCATCCTTCGCCCCCTAGTTTGATCAGAGTGCATCTCCACTGCAGGTCTGTGCAGGGTGGGGCTGGGTGCTTCCCTCAGCCTCCCCTTGCCCCAGGGCCTGCCTCTAACCTCAGTCTGCCTTGTGGACTGCTAGACCATGAACAGCCCCGGAGGCTGGTCCCAGCTTTGGCTTGGGGAGCACTGAGTGTGGATCTCCAGCCTGTGTGGCCTCAGGGCCACATCTGCCAACATTCTCTTTCTTTTCTTTCTTCCTCTTCCTTCCTTTTCTTTCTTTTCTTTGACAGGGTCTTACTCTGGTGCCCAGAGAGGGGAGTACAGTGGTGTCATCATAGCTCAGGACAGCCTCAAACGTGGGGACTCACACAATCCTCCTGCCCTAGCCTCACTAGTATCTGGGACTACAGGTGTGCACCAGTGGACTCTTTTAATTTTTTACCTTTTTAGTAGAGATGGGGTCTTGCTATGTTGCCCAGGCTGGTCTTGAACTCCTGGCCTCAAGCATCTTCCCCTTGGCCTCCCAAAGTGCTGGGGTTACAGAAGTGAGCCACCATGCCCCACCAACATTCTCTTTCTTGATCCCTGAGTCCAGTAGCAGGAAGGGAGGGGGTGAGGGAAGGTTTAAGCATCACTGGGAGCTTTTCCGAAAAATCTCATGTTGTCCTTCTCTCTGGAGAGTATTTGAAAGGGGCCACAGTGGCTGAGAAACGTTGGACTATATTACTATTTCCAATCTTCTGATCGTCTATGAGAATTCCTTCGGTAAGATTTGTTAAGAATTCAGATCCTGGGCTCCTTCTCAGACATACTCGGTTGAAAGCCCTGAGGCAGGACCTAGGAATCTGCATTCTAATAGTCTCCTGGGCTGTCTTCATACTCAGCAGGTTTGAGGCCACTGAGTAAGGGGTTCTTGCAGTCCTCTAGTCCCTTGTCACAGCTCTGGAAGCAGGACGCTCCAGGTTTGGGTGGTGTTCGGGCCCCTTTTTCAGGCAGCCCTTCAGAAATTCGCAGTGAGTGTCCTGCGTCTCCCCTGGCCTGGGAAGGTCTCCTGCCAAGTCAATTCCTGCAGCACAGAGGGAAAGGGTGCCCTTGTCTGATTAGAAACAGACACAGCTGTGCTGTATTCTGTAGCAGGGGAGAGGAGGAAGGGTGATGGAATAACGCCACACCCTGTAGACACGTAATCCAAAATGAACATTCCCTTTGCTTGTTCCCAGTGGGGAATAAGAGATCCCATTGCACTCCTTACCCATTGCCCTGGCCACTTCCCTTCAATGCAACAGACTCAGATGTCCAGAGCTGTGGAGAGTTCTTTCTAAAGGTAGAATAACTGCTTTGTCCAACTCCCCAATCCCTCTCCTCTGAGCAGATGACTTTCAGATACCTGAGAGATAAGTTGTAGTTTGGCTTCAGAATGTTGATAAAGGAGAGGAGCGTTCTCTTCAAGAGCAAACACCCTGAGGTTTGGGCAAAACCTCGGGGTATTGGGCAATGAGAGTGATCAAATGATACAATTTCATTATCTTTGCCCGTCTGCATGGATCTATTGGCTTTGGGAGGCCAAGAAGAAGAGTTTCAAAAGAATAGTTTTAAAAAAATCATCAAACAGCCAATTCACAGCTGTGTCCTGGATGGTAGACCAGGTGGTAAAAGAAAAAAAAAAAAACCTGCCGAGATCAAATTTAAAATGGAATGAGTTTCGTTTTACAGTGAGAAAGAGATGAGCAGCCAACACCCAGGGACTGGCCTGGTCCCAGGCACCCAGCCATCATACTGCCTCCAGATCACTGGGTTCTCTCCTGTTGAACAGTGTCTGAAATGTAGACAAAGCAAAGGCATCTTATCACATGGAGGAAACTGAGTGAGGCTGAAACTGCACCCTATTTACACTTGCCATCATTCGTGAACATCTAGGGAAAGTAAGACACAGACTCATGTGTGGGGGCTGGGAAGAGATGTGAGTATGTAAGTGGGGGCGGTTCGGGGTGAGCGACTGCACAAAACTAGTTTGGAAAGTGACCAATTAGAAAACCAGTTTTTCTCCCATAACCTCAGGAGATGGTTGTTTAATTCAGCTTTCTAATTATAATCCAAATATTCCCAGGTATCACCAGCCTGAAGGTCCAGAAAAACTATCCACATCAACACTCATTTGGAGGGTTCTGACCCCCGCTCAGTGTCCTCCCATCGCTGTCTCAGGTGTACTCACCCGAATTCACATCATCCAGACACTGCTGCTTTTCCCCCAGGAACTGCTGGGTGCCCATGTCCAGGGCAGACGATCGGCAGCCACACTCTGGCATGGACGTACCAGCTGTTTACAGCTGCGTACGTTAGTTACAGCTGCTTAGTGCTGGCTTTAACGTCATACTGGGCATTAAATATTTTGAATACAACCCTGCCCCTGTCCACAATCTGCTGGAGGTAGAAGATGAGGGACAGGCTCTCCACCAACTGTAGGTTCATTTGGTCTTGTGGGCCCAGAAACAGCATTGTTTGAACTCCAACCTCACAAAGTCCCTCCCGAGAACCCCACAGGCTGGACTGAAGGCTTCATACTCCTTGCTTCATTCACCTCCTGTCCTTGAGCCACACTGGGACACAGGCACAAAGTCCCCTCCATTTCCCATTGCCCTGAGCCTCCTAAACTGTTCCTGCTTCTCTTTCAGGTGAAATCTAGAAATGCCTAAGTGGATCAGCTGTGCAAATAAATCTTTCTGGGCTCCCCAGTCCCCTATTTGGTGGTCATGTAGGCTCAGCTGGGACCACCATGCTCCATAATCAAGGAGACAGACAAAACGTTCAGCACTGAATACTCCACAATAAGAGTTTGCGGGAAAAGGAAATGAATAAATCAAGCAATTGTGTTAAAAATTGCAGAGGGCAAGCCACAGATTCTAAACTTGGACCATCTGAATGCAATTCCTTGATCTGCCACTTCCAGCTTGAGTGTGTTACGTGTTTTCTGAGCCCCAGTTTCATCATGGGAAAAATGGGGACAATAGCAGTACCTCCTTGTTAAGAGTTGTTGTGAGAGTCAAACACAATAATCTAAGTCTAGGGTTTGTTGTAGGGCCCGTTGTATGCTAAGTGCTCCATAAATGTTGACTATGATCATTATTATAAATAATCAATCCACATGTTTAGGAAGAAGACATATGCAGAGATGGTGGGAGAAATGGAAAAGATGATTTGCTTTAAATTAAATCTGGCCAGAGATGGCAGGATACCAGGGTGCTATGTGTTCAAAAAGCCAAATTAAACACGGCTCACAGCTCCCTGACCCTCGCCCTCCGTTGGCCAGGTTTCTTGCTGTGTCAGAAGGTGGGGAGGAGGCAGAGCAAAGGAGGCTGCAGCTGGGCTGTTGAACTTGGCCCTCCTAGTAGCCTTAGCCTTAGCAAGTGAGGCCAAGGCTTTTTTGTCCTACCAAACAGTCAGCCTTGTTTTTCTTGAATGGTGATTGGCCAGGAGTCTCTCAATTTGGCTGCACATTTCTGTTTCTGTGGGTTTGGGTTGAGGATCAACAGTCACATTTCCACTTGCATTAATAAATTTAGGTAGACCCAGCCATCTGGAAAAAACCTTGAGATCATCTCCAAGCTGATGAGATGCTAATGGTGGCAAGAAAACTGGAAAAAGCAAAAATAAAAACATCAGCTCAGCTGATGAATTTGAGTTTCACTCTTTTCTTTCTACATATATTCTCCAGCAGAGGTGTTCATTGTCAGGAAACTGACTGCAGATACCACAGACTGGGTGGCTTAAATCACAAACGTTTACTCTCACAGTTCTGGAGGCTGCAAAATCCAAGATCAAGGCACTGGCAAATCCGGTGTCTGGTGAGGGCTGGCCTCTTAGTTCACAGACAGCACCTTCTTGCTGTGTCCTCACATGGTGAAGAGAAAGTCATGTCTCTCATGCCTTTTCTTTTGTTTTTTTGAGACAGGGTCTTGCCCTGGCATGGGCATACCAGCTCTGTGACCCATGCTGGAGTACAATGGCATGATCACAGCTCACTGCAGTCTCAACCTCCTTGGCTCAAGTAATCTTCCCATCTCAGACTCCTGAGTGGCTGGGACTACAGTCATGGGCCACCACACTGGCTAATTTTTGCTTTTTGTAGTGGTGAGGTTTCACCACATTGCCCAGGCTGATCTTGAACTCCTGAGCTCAAGCTGTCTGCCTGCCTCGGTATCCCAAACTGTTGGGATTGCAGAAGTGAGCCACTGTGCCCAGCCTCATGTCTTTTCTTAAAAGGGCACAAATCCCATCATGAGGGCTCCACCCTCATGACCTAATCATCTCCCCAAGGCCCCATTTCCTAATACTATCACATTGGGGTTTAGATTTCAAGGTTTGAATTTTACAGGGACACAAACATTCAGTCCCTGACATCAACTATTGTAGTATTGATATCTATCCATTTACTTGACTAGATCTCTGATCACTGCACCAGCATCATCCAGAAGTGTCTTCTGGGGTCCGGATGTGGTGGCTCACACCTGTAATCCCAGCACTTTGGGAGGCCTAGGCAAGGGGATCACTTGAGGTCAGGAGTTCAAGACCAACCTGGCCAATATGGTGAAACCCCGTCTCTACTAAAAATACAAATATTAGCCGGGTGTGGTGGTGGGCGCCTGTAATCCCAGCTATTCGGGAGGCTGAGGCAGGAGAATCACTTGAACCCAGGAGGCAGAGGTTGCAGTGAGCTGAGGTCGCACCACTACACTCCAGCCTGGGCAACAGGGCGAGGCTCCATCTTAAAAACAAACAAACAATAAACAAAAGTATCTCCTGGTGTATGGAGCCTGAGAATCAGAAGACCTGGTCTTGATTCTTGAAATCATGCTCATGGCAAAGTGTCATTGTCCTGTGTCATCTCTAAGACCATAAGAAATTTGAGGGCAGGACCCTCACCTTGTACTTTTTCGTATTCTGCATAAATGCTTAACAGGTATTTGCTGATTAACTGATCTCCTAAATTAACTATTTTTAGACCACAAACCCATCTAAATGTCTTCCTCTGTTCCATTTTTAAGACACAAGCCCGTGCTTTACTATAAGTTTTACGTGATATGCAACAAGTGAAGATAATAGAAAATATGTACCTATTACCATAGTAAACAATAATTGGTCAACAAATTCACATTTCTTCCAGTGAAACTGAGGGAAAATAGATAATTACCTCTCCAATCAGCTTAGACAGTTTTCTAAATAGCAACTGGCCATTTAAAAGGACTCTTCACTTAAGAATATCAGAACATAAAGTTCTGTAGGCTTAAATAGCAATTCTGAGGTTTACAGAGGAGGCCTGATAGCTGGAATTGAGAAATCCTTGGACAACAAATGATCTCAATGTTATTCCAGTTTTAACTGAAACACTCTTTTGCTAATAAAATGCTAATGTGGTTATGGAAAGTAAGCTTTTTTAATGGAAACTCATGTTTGGTACCTTTGCTTACATGGAGTACATTTGTTATTAATTACTCATTTTTTTTCAAAGCCAAGTCTAATGGGTGATTACAACACAAAAAATTGGCAAGGTCAAAAATAGTTCAGCAGTTATTTGTTTAAGAAACATTAATTGAGCAGTGTTTGGGTAGCAGGCAGTGTGCGGGGTGCTGGGAGGTGGTGTGGTAGGAATATACAATGCCCCGCCCCCCAGCCCCATTTTATCCAGGGGTCATGGGCAGTGGGTGCAAATTATGGTTTCATGTGGACATGCAGCTGGACCAGAGCTGATCCTGTAGGTGGTGCTGTGCTCTCTCCCTCAGCATTTGTCCCTGGAGGGTCTCTGAAAGTCCAGGTCAGCCCCTGGGCTGGGTCCCCACAGTAAGAAGAGAACTGTGATGGGCAACACCCCAGAAAAGAAGACTTGCAGCCTCACTTCAGGTCAATTTGCAAGAACTGACATCACACAGCAGGTATTCGAAGATGCTGCTGACCCAGGTGGATGATACAGGGCACTGGGGTTGGAGGAAGGTGAGCGGGGAGGGGAGAAGGCCCTATATGATACACCACAGACATACATTCCTGGGTGATAAATGGCAGCCTCTGACCTGTCTTTAGGCTGTCAAGGAGATGATGAAGCTTGGGATGGGGTGGAGAGAGGCAGTGCTCTGGGAGAAAGACTGACATTTTCCTGGGGGAATTGGGGTGGCAGTAGGGGAAGAGAAAGTATCTCTTGGGTGAGAAATCAATGGTCCATTTCCAACACTGGACTGTAATGTCCTTCTAATCAGTACTCCGTCTATCTGATTCCATAATGGCATTGAAGGGGTGGGGACACCATCTCATCTTTTAGGGAGGAAATGATGGTCTAGAGAAATCAATGATTTCCCAAGGTCTCTCTTAAGAGACCCATAGTAGTACTGGGATTTTAACCTTTGGCTCTGTTTGGGTACAAATAACGAGAGTGAGAATAGAAATCTAATATAATCATCCAAACCTGTCATCAAAGCTACTTTCAGCAGACTGAGTGATTCATTAAAAACAAAACCAACCAACCAACCAAAAAATGAGGTACAGAGATGTGCTGAGCTGGTGCAGGGGAGGAGATCCATAAAAGCCTGAGGAACGATCCTTGCCCCTGAGGACATGAGCCAGAAACCCAGGTGAAAGGCAGCCCCCAACACAGGTGTTAAACCAGCTAGCTCCAGTCCAAGGTGGAAAAGAGCAGGCATTCTGGGGTGATACAAAAATTGAAATACGGGAGTCTCTGGACCATGTCCCCATGCCATAACTCTTGTGCACTTCCAAGCCCTCTTTCTTACTAACACCAAGGAAATAATGAACATGTCACTACCTTGCTTAGATATTTCCGATGGTCCCATCATCAATAACAAAAGTTGCTCCTTTGCATGGGAACATGCCTTTTGTAATTTACACCCTGCTTTCCTCGCCAGCTTGGTTTCTTCAGACCGTCCAGCTTGCTGCGTCTTGCCCAGTCACGTGGAGCTAATAAAGATACGCTGTTCCACACCTCTGTGCCTCTCCACATGTGGTTCCTTTTGCCTGGAGTGCCAACCCTTTCTGCCTGCTGTCCACCTATCAAACTTCCACTCATCCTTTACAAACGAGCATAAGCATCAGCGCTTTGGGGGTGTGAGAAAATACCCAATGTGTAAGTAGAAATGGAATTTAAAAAAAAATCAGCTCAGAAAGAGTCAAATACATGCCTTTTATGGGCTTTTTGTGAAATGCAAGAGGAATCCAAGGTTTCTTTAATGAATGCATAAGCCAAATGACACACAAGTAATACAGAAAAATAAGTTCTAGGAAAAAATGAGGCCAAAGTATTTGGGGCAATTTAAGGAATCCAGAGCTGAGCTTGCTCTCTCTTCCCAGGTGTGTTCCATGCAGTATAATTGCCTTTCCTTGCCTTGGGGAATGACAGTAACCTATGATCAGAAGATGAACAGGCCACCCCAGCCTGAGGGGGAGATTTCACACTGGAAAATCTTGCCGAGGTGGCTTGTGGAAGATGAGTTGAGTTGTAGATAAGCAGATAGACGGGAATGGAGAGGGATAACTTGGGAGAAAGGCAATAGCAGTGGTGTAGAGGGAGGAAAGTGAATCTGGCAGGGGGCTATTCCTGCATCCTGAAGGTGCCCACTTACATATGGTGACAATATATGTGCTGTATTGGATATATTATATATCCATAAGCATACACAAACACATCATAGAGCCCGGCTTCTGAATCTGGGAATATACTCACTATAATAGCTATATTTGGCTGGGTACAGTGGCTCACGCCTGTAATCCCAGCATTTTGGGAGGCCGAGGCGAGTGGATCATGAGGTCATGAGTTCAAGACCAGCCTGGCCAAGATCGTGAAACTATCTCTACTGAAAAAAAAAATACAAAAATTAGCTGGGCGTGGTGGTGGGTGCCTGTAATTCCAGCTACAGGAAGGCTGAGGCAGAGAATTGCTTGAATCCAGGAGGCGGAGGTTGCAGTGAGCCTAGATTATGCCACTGCACTCTAGCCTCGGTGACAGAGCGAGACTCTGTCTCAAAAAAAAAAAAAGCTATAGTCTGTGTGTGTGTGTGTGTGTGTGTCAGTCATATAGTCACTATATATATTCACTGTAGCAAGTATACAGTGTGTGTACATATATCCACACACATATTTTAGGATCTGGGAATATAATCACTATAGTATCTACACTATATGTGTGTGTATATATATATAAAATATATATATATACAGCATATATATTTAGTCACTTTCTATATATATTCACTCTAGTGAATGCTCTGCTGAAAGTTCTGTACAGTTCTTGTAAAGAAAATGAATTCTGGCCCAGCGCGGTGGCCCACGCCTGTAATCCCAGCACTTTGGGAGGCCAAGGTGGGCGGATCAGGAGGTCAGGAGATGGAGACCATCCTGGCTAACACAGTGAAACCCCGTTTCTACTAAAAATACAAAAAATTAGCCAGTTGTGGTGGCACACGCCTGTAATCCCAGCTACTCGGGAGGCTGAGGCAGGAGAATCGCTTGAACCCAGGAAGCAGGGGTTGCAGTGAGCCGACATTGCGCCACTGCATTCCAGCCTGGGCGACAGAGTGAAATTCTGTCTCAAAAAACTAAAAAAAGAAAAAGAAAAAAAAAGAAAAGAAAATGAATTACTTCAGATCCTGCGACGAGTCTTTCAGACCTTCAGGGGTTTTCGGATCAAGGGAGGCCACCCTGCATTATTAGTTAAGGGCTTTAGGCAGGCACTTGTGCCAACCTGGTCATAAGTAGAAACATCAACATGGCTTCTAAAGTGTCCTAGATCACCCAGATGATCATGATAAGTTTATTTTGAATTTTTAGAATATTGCAATGAAAACAAAATAATATTAAAATTATGATTAGCTAGCACACTTTTAGGAATACGCAGTGCCCCAGACCCACTTTGGGAAATGAAGAAATTCTGGTCCGGGAGAGTTGCAAAGTTCCTTTTAGGGAGGAAAGATTTCTTGGGTTCGTGAAACATCTTAATGGCATTTTTTTTTTTTTGAGACAGTGTCTCACTCTGTCAACCAGGCTGGAGTGCAGTGGTACTATCATTGCTCACTGAAGCCTCAAACTCCTGGTCTTAAGCGATCCTCCCACCCCAGTCTCTTGCGCAGCTGGGACTACTGACACATGTCACCATGCCCAGCTAACTTTTTTTTATTTCTAGTAGAGATGAAGTCTCGCTATGTTGCCCTGGCTGGTCTCAAACTCCTGGGCTCAAGCAATCCTCCTGCCTCGTATTCCCAAAGTGCTGGGATTACAGGCAAGAGGCACTGTGCCCAGCCCTTAATGGCTTTTTGGTTATTCAAAGGTTAACCTGGGCCTTGTATAGGAGAGGTTGAGACAGACAGTTGTTTGCATAACGTTCTGTTTTCTCTGTGGTAGCAGGAGAGACCAAAGGTCTGGCCCTGGGACCTGGTGAGGTGGAAGGGCAGCAGCCTCCCTGTGGAGATAAGGAGTCCCAGCAATATGGTGGCTGGCTGGCACCACACAGAGGAGGCCAGTGTGTGAGTCCCTGGCAGCGGACATAACCTGTGAACCACAGGAATACTGAATCCAACGTTCAGTCTCAGATCTTCGTAATCCTAAACTGTCAGTGACAGATTTTGGGCCCAATAGCACACTGCTTGTTGTACTTAGAGAACAGAGGGGAAGAGGCTGTGTCCACCCTGGAGGAAGAAGAAAGAAAAAGTGAGCAAGTAAACAAGAGGGAGAAAGAGAGAGAGAGAGGGAGAGAGAGAAGTTCCAGATGATGAGAGTTGTGATAAGGGCAGGAATTCAGAGTGAGAGTTGGGAGGGGGTCACTTGGTATTACCAGGAAGTCCTGGGGAAGGCACGGAATGTCCCACAGTCCTGTGGGAGATGTGGGCGGGGGTGATTTAAATTTTTTTTTAATAGAAAGGAAAGGATGATCCCTGACAACTAGGATAGACTCAAGTTACTTGTTTGGGGCAGTGATACCTCTTCCACCATCATCTGACCCCTATTTGTATGATTCACTAGTATTTGTTTTATTATTAAACTTTCTGTGTGTGTTAGTGCCTTCTCCTCAGTAGTTCTGGATTCTTTGGAGGCTACCATGGACAGTTTCACTTGAGTTTGGTGGTGCACATGTAAGGAGTAACTGGAGATAAATTGGAAGAAGTTGGCTAGGGCCAGATCATTGCATGGCATTGCTTGCCATATATTTCAGAATAGACCACTGTGAACCCTGTGACATGTTTATGTGTGAAGTTAGCTTCACAGCTTAGGATCAGTTAGCAAGCATTCAAGAATTAACACTCACAGGAGGCTCTAGCAAGTACTTCCAATGTCAATTTTTCATTGGTGATATAGTGGGATTCAGGACATGTGGGTTGTATAAGTGCTTGCCCCATTGCACAGTGAGGTGTAAAGACACAGCATGCTCAGTTGCCCACCCCTGGAGTACAGCTGTCAGTGGAGGACTCTGCTTGGTCCTCCGCCCCACCCCACCCCATCCTTCACAGAGGACTCAGTGGCCCCCGTAGACAGCTTGCTGACAGAACTCCTATAGCATCTGCTTTAGAGTGGATCTTTCATGCAGGATGCTTGCAGGGAGCCACAAAGGACAGAGAACAGGACCTCACTGAGGTTACAGGAGCAGATTATATGACTGCTTCTATGCCTGTTTGATATTCAAGTTTCTACATTTGGCAGATCTGAGTGTAGTGCTCAGTGTAACATTTCCTGTTGCGGGGATAGGAGCCATCGCTGATATTTTCTGATCAGTGTGCAACACATGGGTCGTTTTGACACGTATGCAAAAGTTGTTCGGAATTGAAGACACTGACCAGGAAGGCTTTGAAGCAGGGGAATGACATGGAGAAGGTGCTCTGTGCTGAGAGCGGGAGGCTGGGGCAGGGATTCAAGTTAGAACCGGAGAGTGGAGTCAAGAACCCGGTGGCCCCAGAGCTAGAAATGCTGCAAGATCAGAATCCACGGGCTCCCCCAAACTCCTCTGAGCCCTGGCACTAGCCAAGGACTTCCTGAGTTAGAGGGGATGTGCAGGCAAGCCAACTCTGTCCACCGTGAGAAAACCACACTGGGATGAATCAGGAGGAGATCCATCCCAGACACAAATCACATTTCCCTTCATTACCTTTGCCTCCATGCATGTGGTGGCAGGGGGTGGAATTCAGAGCAGGGCAAATGCGAAAGGCAGCTTGAGCTTCACCAAGAAGACACTCACAGAAACGACGCTGAAGCCCTGAGCAAGGCTCAGAACCCCAAACTTTCCCAGAGTGGCCTGGTTCTTCCAGAGAGGGCCTATTCATCTTGTCCCTTGTGAGATCTTTTGTGAGTCTATTTTAGTGGCCTTTGAAGGCAATCAATGTGAAGGATCCTTTTTAAGAAGAAATTCACAAAGCTGAGAGGCCCCCTACAGATCACTTGGCCAGATGGGGTGGAGCTAGGCTCAGGACCCTTCCTGATTTTGGCTCTTCTTCCTCCCTCCTCTCTGGTAGGGTTGGGCATTCTCTTCCCTTTGGGCTCCCTCCCTGAGACTCATTTCCCAAGCATGGCTTCTTCTCAAATGGAGGCTACACTTTTTTGATCAAGACTCATGAGCTGTGCAGTGCACTAGCTATTGCTTCCCAGGGTGGGTTTTCAAAAATATCCAGAAAATGAATGGGAATAAATAGGCTCAGGAACAACCTGGTGCCCCCTGCCCCCTTTCTCTCTTTTCTTTCTCTTTCAGTCCCCTTCCTTCCCCATCCCTTTTCTTCCCTCCCCTTCCCTCCCCATCTCTCTTCTTTCCTTCCCTTCCTTCCCACTCTTGCTCTTCAAGTTAGGCTTACAGGATGGAGTGGAAAAACCTCTAGAAACGTTTAGCACATGGCTCTTTCTTAGTTGTCAGGTAGGTGAGTACATTTGGAGACCAAGGCTCAGGCCATCTTTCAATGCCTTTTCATGTCCAGTGCCCAGCGATTCTTTTCCCTCAAGACCTCTGCCTCTCTGCCTCTCCCTACTCACAGTACTGTTGTGAGGAAAGAAAGCTGATACTTGTGAATAATAATAATTATTAAAATAGTTTACCATGATTGAGTGGATAGTCTGTGCCAGGCAGGTGCCAGGTACTTCACACAGAATAACCCATTCAATCCTCACAGCTCTTTGAGATAGCAACTACAATCTCCCCATTTTACAGGTGAGGAACCTGAGATTTAGGTTAAAATATTTGCCCAAAGTCATCGTAGTGGAGTAAATGGTGGCCCCAAAAGATATGTCCAAACCCCTTAGATCTGTGAATATTACATTGGTTGGGAAAAGAGTCTTTGTAGATACAATTAAGTTGAGGATCTTGGGATGAAATAATCCTGGAAAACAAGAATGGGCCCTAACCCAATGATAAGTCTCCTTATAAGAGACAAGAGGAGAAGGCCATGTGAAGACAGGGTTAGAGACTGGAGTGATGTGGCCACAAGCCAAGGAATGTGGACAGCCACCAGAAGCTGGGAGAGGCTGGAAAAGGTTCTCTCCTGGAGCCTTCAGAGGGAACACGGCCCTGCTGACACCTGGATTTTGGACTTATGGTTTCTATAACTGAGAAAGAATGAGTTTCCGTTGTTTTAAGCTACCCAGTTTGTAATAATTTGTTACAGCAGCCCTAAGAATCGAATTCAGTCAAATAGCTGGCTCTTAAGTGGTGAAACAAAGATGCTATCAATATTAAAGCTGTTGTAATAACCAAATTTATTTCATTTTATTTTTGAGATAAGATCTCACTCTGTCACCCAGACTGGAGTGCAGTTGCATGATCATGGCTCACTGCAGCCTCAATCTCCTGGACTTAGGTGATTCTCCCACCTTGCCTCCAGGGTAGCTGGGACTACAGGCACATGCCACCATGCCCAGCTAAGCTAATTTTTTGTAGAGATGGGGTTTCATCATATTGCCCAGGCTGGTCTTGAACCCCTGGGCTCAGGCAATCCACCTGCCTCAGCCTCCCAAAGAATTGGGATTACAGGTGTGAGCCATTGCACCCAACCAATAACCAAATTTCAGTAAGTCATTATAGAAAAATAATGAATAACATCCAAAAAGAATTATGATATATTATCAGTTGAAAGGAGCATGCTAAAAAAAGAAGGAAAGAAAGAAAGAAAGAAAAGAAAGAAGAAAGAAAGAGAAAGAGAGAAAGAAAGAAAGACAAAGAAAGAAAAAGAGAAAAGGAAAAATACATTACTAGTGGGTATTCCTGAATAATGGAAATACTTAATATTCTTCTTTGGGTTTTCCTGAATTTTCCAGAATTACTAATGAATATGTACTTTGATAACTAATATTTTAGAATGTGTTAGAAAGAAGTTCAGTGGACTCAGACAGGCCTGTTCACCACTGACGATAGTTAATAGGGCTGCGTCTTGGGTGGTTTCCTGCAGTGCCCCAGGGAGCAGTCTTCCTACAAAGTCCCACTCTTTCATGAGTCATCACCAGAATCCCCACATTCTCTGCAAAATCAAGCCTGGAGATTCCTCTTTAGGGTCACAATGTCCATGGATTCATTGCTTCTATTTAGGAATTATTTACATATGCTTACATTCATGCCTCACATTGAGTAGACATGTCCCAGAAAGGTTGTGATAAGTGAAATTTTTAATGAATTAAATCATCCTGAAAATGTGGATAAGTGGCTTCGGGCAGACAGTTTTATGAAGTAGATTACTATCTCTCTTACACCCACTCCTACTTCAGCCCTCTCTGTTCTTGTACTGGATTTCCTTAAAGGAGAGGCCTCCAGTGCACCTCGTCAGCTGCACTCAGCTCTTAAATGCAGCTATTCACAGAGGGCCCAGGCTCTCCCCTGCCCTGTGACACTACGTGGGACACACACCTCCACAGGTGACTATCAACCCTCACGCAGGCAAAGCCTCTGGAAGCTGTTCTTGTCTTCATGGACACAGTGTTGCAAAGACGCAAGGGCGTCCATGCGGTCCTGGGGAAGAGCTGCAGCAAGGCCCGGCAGGGTGGGCAGGCCTGTGGGTCTGTGTTCAGGTGACGGCTGGTCTGAGCAGCGCACTGCCTGGTCTCCTGCTTGGACAGCAGCGAGGGCAAGTAATGCTGGACTGGGAGTCAGGCTATTCCACATCCTTGAAATCTAGTTATTTCCATTAGCTTTGCTTTGTTAATCAAAAAGTATCTGAGACAGATCTCAATCAATTTAGAGATTTATTTTGCCGAGGTTAAAGATCATGGCCCATGACATAACCTCAGAAGATCTTGAGAACCTGTGCCCAAGGTGGTTGGGTTACAGTTTGATTTTATAAATTTTAGGGAGACAGAACAGGCAAAGACAAAAATCAATATGTATAAGGTATACATTGGTTTGGCCTGGAAAGGTGGGACATCTTGAAGTGGAGGCATCTGCGTCACAGGTGGATTTAAAGATTTCCTGATTGGCAATTGGTTGAAAGGGCTAAGCTCTGCCTGAAGAGTTGAAAGCAGCTTGTGGTAAGGTAAAGGTGGGTTGGGGGAGAGGATTGTGGAAGCTAAGGTTCTTATCATGTAGATGAAGCCTCCAGGCTGCAGAAAGAATGGATGTGAATTTGTCTCTTATCAAAGGTGTCAGACTCTGGAGAGACCTAGTCAGGGAAGGAGATTCTCTACAGAATGCAAATTTCCCCCACACGAGACAGCTGAATCTATTTTGGAGTAAAATACTTGGATTTCTTTCAGGGCCTGCTATCTGTCATGTGATGCTATGCTGGGGTCAGGTTGAAGCTTGGTCTCTTATTGCTATTAGGAGTCTGTTCTGTCCGTCTCAGGATCCCTAATTTAATGTTAATGCTGGTCAGCTGTGCCTGAACTCCAAAGGGAGGAGGGTGTGATGAGGTATGTCTGACCCTCCCTGCTTCCCGTCATGGCCTAAACTGGTTTTTCTGGTTTCTTTGGGTCTCCGTGGCCAAGAGGAGAGCCTATTCAGTCAGTTGGGAGGCTTGGAATTTTACTTTTGGTTTACAATTTGTAGGTGATAGAAGCCCTTTAAAAGACAAGGGTCCAGCTAAGAAGTGAATTACTCCATAGCTGACTTCACATTCTTCCATCTGGATTCTTTTGTTTTTTTCGCATGTAATGGGTTCTAAAAGTCTATTATTAGTAAATGAGGCTTTATAGACAAAACTGTCAAAAATTTTCACGTGACACCCAGGCTAAAACCCCAGATCCCAAGCTGGTCACAGGCACTGTCCTTCTCTCAAGCATTCTTTTTAATTGTCCATTGTTTGGAGGAACAATTTACCATTGGACTAATTGGGACTGGTGGAATCTCCCCTCCTATCCTAACAGCCCTGTCTGTCTAGTTTAAGCGAGGGGTGAATTTCTTGCATTATTCTAGGGAATTTGAAGAATCTCCAGGAGGGCCAGAGAGTAGACTTGGATGCCACCCAGCCAGCAATAGAGAAGTTGGGACCACCCAGCCAGGGACAAGGCCACACCTCAGCCATCACCACCCACAAGCAACGCAGCATGTATGAGCTGGGACAGGACACCAGAAACTACCTCATGATTGCTCCGGAAGAAGCAGCTGCAGGTGCTCAGCCATCTTTATTTCCTGCCACCCCCAAACTATGAAGACAGCAAAGCAGCCTGTGGAGAGGCTGCTCACAGAGGCAACCCCACCCTTACTTGGTGATGGCACGTGGAACTCCACCTCCCAGGTGGAAAATGGAAAAATTGTTTCCTTCTCTGATCTACTGCCTGAGCTGTCATCAGGATTTTGAGGACTGACTTAATGAATAAAATATAAAGGCTTAGCGTGAGCCTGGGATATGCATGGTGGAAGAGAATAAATAGCCTTTTGTATATCAAAGATACTTTCTGGGTAACCCAATCTGAGAAATAGCTACTTCAGCCACATCTGCTGTTAGGGAAGGCTGAGAAAATAGTGACTATAAAATGAAATGAGGCTTGTAGGTGAACCACATGAAATCCTGTGAACCGGGGAGAAGTCACCAGCTATTACAATGGAGTCTAGCTAAGAAGGGGCACGTGGGGGTGGGGAGATCGTGACCAATCAACAGTGCAGCTTGAAAATGTGGGTTTTCTCTTGGGAAGCTTCATTCCCTGGGAAGGAAGAAGCTATAACGAAACAGGAGCAATGAAGCTTTGCCTGGAGAGGATGCTGCTCACATTTGCATGTTAAATGAACTGAGGCCTCTCCTGGCTCCCCTTGGAGGGCTCTCAGAGGCAGCTCTAGCCTCAGAGGGTCTCTTGCCCACATCTTACTCTGGTTCAGAGCCCACATCCCCAAAGAGAGCCTTGTACACAGCAGGTATTCAATCAATATTTGTATTAAATTGCATTTTAAAAGCTGATTACTTGAGTGACCCCTTCCCCTACCCACCCCCAAAGACTGTCCTCCAGTATCTCTTTGTGCATATCCTGAATTCAAGCTGCAGTGAGAGGCTTTAGCAAGAGAGAGAAAACCCACTCTAAAAGCTTCATTTGCGACAATTTCCATTTTATTTCTCACCACCACCAGCCTTTGGACGAACAGGTCCTAAAGAGCTATGGAAACAGCATCGTGGAAACAGCACGGTGAGTTTCAGACTTGTGTGGCTTGGCAGGGCAGCCTTGTTTTTAGTTGTGGTGGCTTGCCAAAAAGGCTGGCTCTCCCTCAGCTAGCTCCCCTGGGCACTGTTACCTCCAGTAGAGCCTCTTTACTCTGAGGGGTGGCCCCTGCAAGGAGGTCCCTGCTTGGCAGCTTTGTCTTGCTCATATACTGGGTATATCCCCTGGAGGGAGGCATGAGGCTCTCGGGTGGCCTTCATTCTTACACCCCTGCGTACACCTGTGTCCAGGTACCACCACCTACACACTGCCCAGGCCTCTAAGTCCACACGCTCGGATTCTGGTTGCTTTTATTTATTTCTTTATTTATTGACAGAGTCTCATGCTGTCATCCAGGCTGGAGTGCAGTGGTGTGATCATAGTTCACTGCAGCCTCAACCTCCTGGGCTCAAGCAATCCTCCCACCTCAGGTTCTTGAGTAGCTGAGCCCAATACCATGCCTAGCTAATTCTAGTAGCTTCTGATAAATTCTCTCTGTTTACTCAAGATACAGTTATTGAATGACTGGTCTGGGCCAAGCATTATTCTCGGCGCTGGGGATGCAGCAGGTATGAAATAGATAAAACCCTCTGCCTTTATGGGAGTGGTGGGGATGGGGCAGACAAACATCTAACATAATAAGTAAGTCAATTTTTTTTTTTTTTGTGAGATGGAGTCTTGCTCTGTCACCCAGGCTGGAGTACAGTGTCACGATCTTGGCTCACTGCAACCTCCGCCTCCTGGGTTCAAGCAATTCTCCTGACTTCTGAGTAGCAGGGACTACAGGCATGTGCCACCATGCGCAGCTAATTTTTGTATTTTTAGTTGAAACGGGGTTTCACTATGTTAGCCAGGCTGGTCTCAAACTCCTGACCTCAGGCAATCCGCCCACCTCGGCCTCCCAAAGTGCTGGGATTACCGGTGTGAGCCACCATGCCTGGCCCGTAAGTCAATATTATGATAGGAGGTGATACTCTTTTTTTTTTTTTTTTTTTTTTTTTTTTTTTTTTGAGACAGGGTGCTGCTCTTTCAGCCAGGCTGGAGTGCAGTGATGCAATCACAGCTCACTGGAGCTTTGGCCTCCTGGGCTCAAGCAATTCTCCCACCTCAGCCTCCCAAGCAGCTGGGACTACAGGTGCACACCAGCATGCTGGGCTAATTTTTGGATTTTTTGTAGAGATGGGCTTTTGCCATGTTGCCCATGGGGCCTCGAACTCTTGGGCTCAAGTGATCCTTCCACCTTGGCTTCACAGAGTGCTGGGATTACAGGTGTGAGCCCCTGTGCTTGGCCAGGTGATATGTGTTTTAGATAAAAACAGCAGGATAAGGAGTGCAGGGGGAGGAATTAGTATGTAAAAGAGGTCATTTTGGTAAGTCTTGGGTAACCTTTTGCTAAGTGCTGGGTAAGCCTTCAATCTAAGGCAAGCTCACAGCAGTTTTGGAAGGAGAGCTGTGGGCATGAGGAAAAGAAAGGAACCAAGGGCGGCTGCCCAGTAACCGGCAGGACCCAGATATCTTTGCTGAGATGGAGAACTGAGGGAAAGGCTAGATTGGGGCAGGGGCTGTTGGGGGAGCACAAATAACTTATTTTGGATGTTATTTATGCAAACTTTAAAAACAAACATTATGAGTGGGGAGGAGAGGCCAGGCGTGGTGGCTTATGCCTGTAATCTCAGTACTTTGGGAGGCTGATGTGGGAGGATCACTGGAGGGCAGGAGTTCAAGACCAGCCTGGGCAACATAGTGACATCCATCTCTAATTAAAAAAAAATTAATTTCAAAAAAGTGAGGAGGAGAGTGAATAAAGGGAATACAACTGAGATGGGCAATGGAAGGAAGTTCTGCCCAGACACCAAGGAGGAAGGAGGGTGGAGGGTGCAGGAACAGAATGATGCCTCTGGAGCACTCTGTCCCCCTCCTTCTGCCCCCAGATGGTAATCAGGCTCGAGTGGTCCAGAGCTTCTGTGGTTCAGCTTGTGGACACACCCTGGTGGGGATTGTGCTCTGATGGGGGTGAGGACTCCTCCCCAGGAAAGCCCAGGGCTTCTGTTCACATCTCTGTCTACCCCCCAGGGGAAATGCAAGGGCATCTAACATTTATCTCTGGTTTGTCTGTTTCACAGGGGGCCTGGATCATACTCAAGGTCACTAGATACTTGTTACATGAGTGAATGAAGTCATTCAGTACTCATTGGCTCCACTGGGCTCTGACTTGCTGGGCATGACAAGCCCACCAGGGAGCCCTGGATATCCCTCCTCTTTCCAAGCAGCTGGGGAAGCTGGTTGCCCTGGAAACCTGTTTTAGGTGGCAGCATCTTCCTCCAGGAGGTCGAGGTGTCTCCTGGACCTTAGAGACTCCAGGACACAGGACAGAGCTCTGAACTGTGGAGCCGGGAAACCTGGTTCCAGTCTCAGCCCAGATTTACCAGCCGTAGACTTGGCCAAGTCACTCACAAAACCCAAAGGGTGAGGCAGAGCTGGCCCTGCCTGCATGGCAGGGAGATTTTGAGAAGCATGAAGAGAGTCAGGAAGTGCCTGGGGATCGAATCCACCCAGCAGTGCAAGGCATTGCTCTCCCAATTCTCCATTGGGAAAAAAAAATCCAGACAAAGACAGTACAGAGAATATGGTAGCCAATACTGCAGCAGTCACCACCCGGAAAAACAGACACTAATATAATAACTTGTGATTTTTGCTTCATATCTCTGTGGCATAAAACCATGACACATAAAGTTTATGTCCCCCTTTAACCATTCCTCAATGCTATTCCCCTCCTCTCTCCCCCTCCTCAACGGCAACCACTGATATGTTCGCTCTATTCTGTGCTTTTCATATTTTAAATATATTGTTTATGGGAATGATCATATATAAGAAATATATTATACTGTTTGTTTTAAAAGTTTGCATAAATAATATCAAAGTAAATTATTTAAGTGTCCCCAGCAGTCCCTGTCCCCGTCCACCTTTCCCTCAGTTCTCTTCCATCACAGTAAAGAAAACTGCCCAAACCTGGTCACCGCCCCTGGACTTTCGAAGTGGCTTCCTACTTGGGGTCCTGCTTCCAACATTGGCCCTGTGAGTGACAAGGATCTCATTCCTTTTGTGCTCAAAGCTCTGGCCTCTCTCTCCCTCCTTGGCCTTGCCCAGCCCAGCCCCACCCCTGTCCTCAGAACCTCACACCTGTCGTTCCCCACCTGGGGTGCCCTTCCCGCTGGCTGGCCCCTCACCTCTCTCAGATTTCTGCTCTAATGACAGTAACTGGAGAGGCCTTGCCTGAAGTCCCCTCCTCTTTCTCCTTACCTTGCTTTTTGGTTATGCATCCTCCTCCTAATTGCTTTATTTATTTATGTGTTTAATCACCATCCTCTTACTTTTCTAAGGCTCGTCCTGATTTTTTTCACATCCTGGTATCTGAGCCGGCAGTGATTCTATACCTGGCAGCAGCCTGTGCGGCAGAGCTGTGTGTAAAGGGGTCCATGCAGAGCCCTGGGAGAAAGAAAAATGAAGGGGAAAAGGTTGACCTGAGCTTTTTCACCTGGGGCTGGAAAGTGGACCAGAGCCTATCATTCCAACCTGCAGGTGCCTAAGGCCCAACAGAAAGTTCACCAGGAAAGACCAAGAGAATTGGGGTGACCCTCCCACAGTATCAGAGGGAAGGGGAGTGGGGAGGAGTACAGCAGTGCAGACCAGCCCCACAGGTGCTTAGCCAGGCCTTTGGTTCTGCCAGGGAAAGGAGGGTGCCTTCCACAGCATGAAAACTACACCACGTCCCAATGTGTCCGGGACCTGCCGCCAGCCGCCTGCACAGTAGTCAGGTGGATGCCACCGGGATACAGCCCACACTGACTCCTGACCCCAGGGGGTACAGCCCACGCTGACTCCTGACCCCAGGGGGTACAGCCCACGCTGACTCCTGACCCCAGGGGGTACAGCCCACATTGACTCCTGACCCCGGGGGTTACAGCCCACACTGACTCCGGACCCCGGCGTGGGAGGGGCTGGCCCGAGATGAAATCTCGAAGGTGGGTCAGGCTAGGTCCTGGAGTCAGGGGAAGCGTGGGGTTCAGGCCAGGCCTGGGTTCTCCCTGAAGTGAGGCTGACTCTGAGCCTTTCTTGAAACCCCAAATGTCACAGCAGTGCCCCGAAGGTAGGTGAGGCTCTGTTGCAGGGAATGCTGAGGAAAAAGGGAACATCAGGGATTGGTCTGGCCTGAAGCCTGCACTCCCCTAAATTATACCCTGGTATGATTTGGGCTTGCCCTGGAGTTACCTCAACTAACCTGGGGTCCTTGGGGGAAACAGAGATGGACAGGGTTGATGTATATTTCGGGTTGATTTGGACTCTAAGGATTATCCCAGCTCAGACCTCGCTCTCAAGGAATAGGAGCCTGGCATCTGTCTATCACCCCCTTGGCCCTGGGTATAGTCTGGATGAGCAGAGGCACGCGTGTGGCCCCAAGAGTCCCACCCTCTGGCTCTCTCCTCCCAAGACATTCTGGAGCCATGACATGTCTCCCAGGAAGGGAGAATTATTTTTGTCTGTGGCATAAATAAAGCCAGGAATGAGTTCCAATAATCACAAGCACATGCCAGCATGTGGAGGCTACTCTGACAGCAGCAGAAGGTTCCAGCACTGCCTGCCCTGCTGGTCCTGGCTGCAGGGAGGTGACCGGGATGGTCAGGGGTCGGGAGCAGGAGGGAGCCTCCAGGATTTTATTTAAAATGATCAGGTTTTTCAAACAAATGGAAAAATAAAAAAATCTTGAAAACAAATCTTTTAAAAATTTACCCACTTCACTCCAGATCTTAAGAAATAAAAATAAAACATGACTATTCCTCTAGAATCCTGACCCATACCATACAACTCTCTTCCCAGAGGTCATTGCCAACATCGATTTCTATTTATTTTTCTCATGCTTGCTTTAATATTTCTACTATATATGTATGCATCTATAAATAAACTCTATGTGACATTGTTTTGTGTTTTAAAATCCTTTGACTTTTTACTGTACATATGATTCTGCAACTTGCTTTTTATTTTAGAAAATTAGGGCAAAAAACCACATAACCTAAAATTCACCCTCCCAACAATTTCTACTTGTAGAGTACAATATTGTTAACCACACTTAAAGTGTTGTGCAACAGATTCCTAAGCCCCCTTTCCCCTCCTGCATGACTGAAACTCTGCACCGACTGAAAAGCAACTCCTCACCCCTACTTCCCTGGCTTCTGGCAGCCACCATTGTGTTCCTGTGAGTTTGATTACTCTAGACACCTTTTACAAGTGGCATCATACACTTTTTGTATTTTGTGATTGGCTTATTTCACATAGCATAATATCCTCAAGGTTCATCCACTGAGTAACATGCAACTGAATTTCCTTCCTTTTTAAGGATGAATAATATTCCATTGTCTTTACAGAGCACACTTCTTTATCCATTCACCCATTGATGGATATTTACGTTGCTTTCACCTCTAGGCTTTTGTGAATAATTCTGCTGTAAACATGGGTGTACAAATATCTCTTAAATATCCTGTTTTCAATTCTTTTGGATACATACCCAGAAGTAGGATTGCTGGATCATATGGTAGTTTTATTTTTATTTTTTTGAAGAATCTCCATACTGTTTTTCACAGTGACTACAACATTTTGCATTCCAATCAACACTGAACAAGGGTTCTAATTTTTCCACATCCTTGCCAAAATTTATTTTCTGTTTTTTGTTTTTATACTAGCCATCCCAATGGGTATGAAGTGATATTTCATTGTGGTTTTGACTGAATTCCTTAGTGATTAGTGATGTTGGGCATCTTTTCATGTGTTTGTTGGCCATTTGTATATTTTCTTTGGAGAAATATCTATTTAAGTCCTTTGCCCATTTTTAAATAGGGTTATTTGGGTTTGTTGTTGTTGTTATTGAGTTGTAGGAATTCTTTATATATTCTGACTATTAACTTTTTATCAGATGTATCATTTAAAAATATTTTCTCCCATTCCATAGGTTGTCTTTTCACTCTGTTAATTGTTTCCTTTGCTGCAGAGTTTTTAAGCTTGATGTCATCCCATTAGTCTATTTTTGCTTTTGTTGCCTCTGCTTTTGGGGCTACCTCCAAGAAATTCTTGCCAAATTCAATATCATGAAGTTTTTCCCATATGTTTTCTTCTATGACTTTCATATTATACTTTCAGGTCTTTAATTCATTTTGAGTTAATTTTTGTGTATAGTATATGCAATTTGGTTTTTAAACTTATTTTGTTTTTGAGATTTACCCATGTTAGTACAAGTAGCTCCAGCTCAACACACGTTGCTGCTGCTGGAAACCCCTGGTAATGTTAGTTATCCACAAGTCGTTCATTCATTTGTAAACTCTTTACACACAGTGCTGTGATGAGTGTTCTCTAAGGTTCCTGTGCACATATGTGACAAGCAGAATCATGGGCCCTGAGGTTGCACTTCTTCTGTATTAATAGATAATCCCCAATTGCTATGCAAAGGGGTTGTAGGCACTGGATATATACCAACTTCTGTAAAGACTGAAGAAAAACTCCTTGTACTTCTGGCCAGGGAGAAGAAAAGTAACCATTTAAAAATACACCAGAACATTCTGTTCTTTTTAACAAGGCTTCCCCTCAGGAGAAACTATTTAGCCAGAGCCTAACCAACATGGAGGAAGGAAAATATCAAATTCTAGCCCACGAATTAATTTCAGACAAAGTAGACTCCAGAGAAAGGAAAATTATCAAAATAAAGAGAGACATTATGTAATGATATAGGGTCAATTTTCCAAGAAGACATAACAATTCTTAATGTGCATGCACCTAAAAGAACTGACATGAGACAAAATGTGTGAGAGAAAACTGATAAAAATCCAAGGAGAAATAGATAAATTCACTTTTATATTTGGAAGCTTCAACTCCCCTCTATCAGTAATTGACAGATCCAGTAGGCAGAAGATCAGTAAGATATAGTTGAACTGAACAACAGCATCAATCAACTGCATCTAATTGACATTTATAGAATACTTCATCCATTAATAGCAGAATACACATCCTTCTTAAACTCACACAGAATTCACCAAGAGACTGCATTCTGGTTTATGAAGCGCACCTTAACAAGTTTAAAAGAATAGAAACTGTATAAAATTTGCTCTCAGATGACAGTACAATTAAACTAGAAATCAGTAATACAAAGACAGTGGGAGAAACCCCCAATTACTTGGATAAAACGATCCACTTCTAAATGGCACAGAAGTCAAAGAAAAAGTCTCAGGAGAAATTTAAAGATATTTTGAACTAAGTGAAAATGAAAATACAACCTATCAAAATTTGTAGAATGCAGTGAAAGCAGTGCTTAGAGGGAAATTTATAGCATTAACTGCATATATTTGGAAAGAAGAAAGATCTAAAATTAATAATCTAAGCTTCCACCTTCAGAAATGAGAAAAAAGAAGAGCAAATTAAAATCAAAGTAAGCAGAAGAAAACAAGTAATCAAAATAAATGTAGAAATGAAACAACTTAAAATAGGATATCCTAGAGAAAAAATCAATAAAACCAAAAGCTGGTCCATTGAAAAGATGAATAAAGCTGATAAACATCTAGTCAGGTTAATTAAGAAAAAAGAGAGAAGATACAAATTATTAATATCAGAAATAAAAGAGGACTGCCACTAATCTCGTGGACTTTTAAAGAATAATAAAGGAATATTATGAAAAAGCCTATGCCCACAAATTTGATAAGCTAGATGAAATGAACCAATCCCTTGAAAGGCACAATCTACTAAAATGCACACAAAACCTACACAGAAATAAATATATAATCTGAATAGGTCCATATCTATTAAAGGAATTGAATCAGTAATAACAGAAAGCACCAAGCCCAGATGGATTATTGGTGAATTCTACCAAACATTAAACAAAGAAACTCTGCCAATTCTCTACACTCTTTTCCAGAAAACAGAAGCAAAAGGAATACTTCCTAACTTATTCTGTGAAGCTAGGATTATCCTAATACAAAACTAGACACAGACATTACCAGAAAGGAAAGTTAGCAACCAATATCTCTCACAAACCCAGATGCAGAAATTCCCAACAGGCTAAGCATGGTGGCTCACTCTGGTAATCCCAGCACTTTGGGAGGTTGGGACAGGAAGATAACTTGAGGTCAAGGAGTTTGACATCAGCCTGGGCAGCACAGTGAGACCCCGTCTCTACGGAAAATAGAAAAAAATAGCTGGGCATGGTGGTGCATGCCCATAGTCCCAGCTACTCAGGAGGCTGAGGTGGTAGGATCACTTGAGCCCAGGAAATCAAGGCTGCAGTGAGCCATGTTCACAACACTGCACTGCAGCCTGAGTGACAGAGTGAGACCCTGTCTCAAAAACAAAACAAAGCAAGCAAACAAACGAAAACCAAAAGAATAAAAGGTAAAAATTAGAAATCTTCAACAAAAGATCAGCAAATTGAATTCAACAATGTATGAAGATAATTATACACCACAACCAAGTGGGATATATTTCCAGGTATGCAAGGCTGGTTCAATACTTGAAAGTCAATTAATGTAATCTGTCTGGTCTAGCTGCTAAAATGCCACAACTGGGTGGCCTAAACAACAGAGATTTATTTTCTCACAGCTTTGAAGCCTGAGGAGTCCAAGATCATGTGCTGGCAGATTGGGTTTTTGGTCAGGGCTCTCTTCTTGGCTTGTAGGTGGCCACTTTCTTGCTATGTCCTCACATTCCTCGGTGTGTGTGCATGGAGAAAGAGAGGGCATGCTCTCTGACGTCTTTTCTTACGGGAACACTAGTCCTATCAGATCAGAGACCCTTCTGATTTTATTTAACAGTAATTACTTTCTTAGAGGCCCTATCTCCAAATACAGTCACACCAGTGTAAGGCTTCAATCTATGAATTTTGAGGGGACACACACATTTAGCTCATAACATAATACAATACATCAATAGGCTAAAGAAGAAAAATCTTATGACAATATCAACAGATGCAGAACAATATTTGACAAAATCCAATATCCATTCATGATAAAACAAAACAAAAACAACTCCCAGCAAACTAGGAATACAGGGGAACTTCCTCGACTTCATGGAGAACATCTATAAAAAATACAGAGCTAACATCAAATTTAATGGTGAGAAACTAGATGCTTTCCCACTAAGATCAGGAACAAGCAAGGACATCCCCTCTCATCACTCCCATTTAAAGTAGTACTAGAAGTCCTAGTTAATGCAATATGACAAGAAAAGGAAATAAAAGGTATGTAGTTTGGTAAGGAAGAAACAAAATTTTCTTTGTTCACAAATGACATAATTACCCCAAACTCCTGGAGCTAATAGCAATTATAGCAAGGTTGCAGGATGCAAGGTTAGTATACAAAAGTCAGTTTTTTTTAATATACCAGCAATGAACACTTGAAATTTAAAACTAAAAACAAAATGCAACTTACATAAGAACTAGAAGAGAAAGAAATATGTAGGTATACATCTAACAAACTATGTACAAGATCTGTATGAGGAAAATAAGAAAACTGATGAAATAAACCTAAGAAAATCTAAATAAGTGGAGAGAGATTTCACATACATGGATAGAGAGTGTTTTAGTTTGCTACGGCTGCTGTAACAAAATACCACAAAATGGGTGGCTTAAATAACAGAAATTTATCTTTTCACAGTTCTGGAGGCTAGAAGCCCAAGATCAAGGTGATGATAAGCCAGGCACTGTGGCTTATGCCTGTAATCCTAGCACTTTGGGAGGCCAAGGTGGGAGGATCACGGGAGTTTGAGGCCAGCCTGGGCAACAAAGTGAGACCTGTCTCTACAAAAACAAATGGAAAAATTAGCTGGGCGTGGTGATGTGCTCCTGTAGTCCCAGCTCGTTAGGAGGCTGAGGTGGGAGGATAGATTGAGCCTGGGAGTTCAAGGCTCCAGTGAGCCATGATCACACCACTGCACTCCAACTGGGGGAAAAAAGTGAGACCCTCTTTCAAGAAAGGAAAAAAACGTGTTGGCAGGATTAGCTTCTCCTGAGGCCCCTTTCCTTGGCTTGCATATGGCTATCTCCTCCCTGTGTCCTCACATGGTTTTCTTCTCTGTGCATGTGCATCTCTGCTGTCTCTTTCCTTGTGTCTTAATCTCCTCTTCTTATAAAAACACTAGCAGATTAGGTTAGGGTACATTTCACCTTAACTACCTCTTTAAATAGTTCCATTTTAACTTTAAGGTCTTATCTTTAACTGTCCTATCTCCAAATATAGTTACATTCTGAGCTACTAGGATTTCAACATATGAATTTTGAAGGTTGGGGGACGTAAGTCAGCCCCTAACGGGGTGACTCAATATTATCAAGATGTCAGTTCTTTCCAATTAGGTCTATGTATTCAATGTAATCTCAACCCAAATTACAGAAAGTTATTTTGTGGATATTGAAAAACTGATTCCAAAGTTTATATGAAGAGGCAGAAGACCTGAAGTTGGAGGACTGACTATAAGGCCACAATAATCACGACAGTGTGGCATTGGCACAGAAATGAACTGATCAATGGAACAGAAAAAAGAGCCCAGAAATAGACCCACACAAATATAATCAACTGACCTTTGACAAAGGAGCAAAGGAAATTCAACGGAGAAAGGATAGTCTTTTCAACACATGGTGCTGGAACAACTGGATATTCACATGCAAATCAGTGAATCTAGACACGCATCTTTCACCTTTCACAAAAACTAACTCAAAATGAATCATAGACCTAAATGTAAATCAGAAAACCATAAAACTCCTATAAGATGACACAGGAGAAAATGTAGGTGACTTTGGGTTTGGCAATCACTTTTTAGACACAACAGCAAAAGTACCATTCATAGCACAGAACATTGGTAGGTTGGATTTTACTAAAATTAAACATTTCAGCTCTGTGAGAGACACTGTGAAAAAAATAAGACACAATTCACAAGATGGGGAAAAATATTTGCAAAACACAAAGCTGATAATGGTCTGGTATCCAAAATAGACACAGAACTCCTAAAACTCAACAATAAAAAAGTGAACAACTTAAGAATGGGCAAAAGACTCAAACAGACACCTCACCAAAGAAGGTGTATGGATGGCAAATAAACATATGAAAAGATGCTCCACATCGTCTGTCATTAGGGAGTTGCAAGTAAAACAACAAGAGAGTACCACACACCTGTTGGAATGGCCCAAATCCAAAACACTGACAACACCAAATGCTGATGAGAATGTGGAGCAACAGGAACGTTCATTCATTGCTGGTGGGAACACAAAATGAAACAGCCACTTTAGAGGATAGTTTGGCAGTTTCTTATAAAAGTAAGCAGTTACCATATGATCCAGCAATTGCACTCCTAGGAATAAACCCAAATGAATTGAAAACTTATGTCCTCACAGAAAACTGCACAGGAATGTTTATGGTGGTTTTCTTCACAATTGCCAAACCTGGGAGCAACCAAGATGTCCTGTAGGATAAACAAACTGTGGTACATTCACACAATGAAATACTATTTATGATAAACAGAAATGAACTATTAAGCCATGAAAAGACTTGGAAGAACCTCAAAGGCATAGTACCAGTGAAAGAAGCCAATCTGAAAAGGCTACGTCCTGTATGATTCCAACTGTACGACATTCTGGAAAAGGCACAACCATGGAGACAGTACAAAGATCAGTGGTTGCCAGAGGCTTAGGCAGGGGATGGAGCAATGAACAGGCAGAGAATGGAGGATTCTTAGGGTATGAAACTACTCGGCATGACACTTTAATAGCAGATACATGTCATTACGCATTTGTCACAATTTGTACAGTGTACCATGCAAAGAGTGAGCCCTTAAATTGTATAGACATTGGCTCACCAATTGTAACAAATGCACCACACTAATGCAAAATATGAATAATAGGGGAAGGTGGGGAGGAAGAAAGTACACAGGACTTTGTATTTTCTGTTGAGTTTTTCTGTCAATCTGAAGTTGCTTTCAAAATTAGAGTCTCTTGGTTTAAAAAAATGTAAGAAAAGCAGGTGGTACTGGGAATCAAGAGGTAACTGAACAGATGACTAAATCAGAATCGCAAGGCAGATGGGAAGACAGAAATGATGCAGGTATTGAAACGTTACACATGGAGTTGAGCCTGAGGAACAAACATGCTGACAGCCAGGAGCTTGTAACTCATCCTGACAATACAAACTGCTCATGAAAGGATTTCTCCACCTGAACTTCGCCTGATCAGAGAAGTACATTTCAATGGCAACCACTGGACTCCAAAATCATTAACTACACCGATCAAAAAGCTGACTGGGCTTGGTGGCTCATGCCTGTAATCCCAGCACTTTGGGAGGCTGAGGCAGGAGAATCACTTGAGCTCAGGAACTGAAGGCTGCAGTGAGCCATGATCATGCCACTGCACTCCAGCCTGGGCTACAGAGCAAGACATTGTCTCTAAAAATGGATTTTTTTTAAAAGAACCTATAAACCTATAAAATACTGCCTCTTAATTAAGTAAACCTTAACCTTGTAGCATTTTTGCCTTACTACTTGTTTAGCAAAACTTTCCTTTCATAGGTAATTCTAAAGTAAACTAAAAACAAGCCTCTTGGGGATTCCTGGGGCCCACAGAAGTGAGATGTTATCAATTACTATTCTATACTGAATTGTCCCTTTCTGTAATGATGGCACAGTTTCCTGTTTTTGAGTGCTGTAGAGGATAGGAGAAAAATAAATACAAGCTCCACTAATTCAGCTCTGGGATCAGCCATTGGCCATCAGTAGAGCTTTATAGAGGTTGAAATTGTTTTTCAGGGATCTTGAAACCGTGCCTCTTGCCTCACTGTGCAATACTGAGAACAAATACCACTGACAAATCTCTGCCACAACTGGATGAACACAAGAAGGCAAACTGTTCAGCCCAACATGCTGGGCCTTGGTGATCAGCCTCAGTGTTTGCTGCCAAAACCTTACATCCGTAGGGCTTAAGACCCTTTTAACAATAACTGATAATGAGCTCAAAATACAGACTTACTAATTTTTTCTGTTACAAAGAAAATGCACATGCATATGGATTTGAACTAGAATTGGCCTTGGAGATATTCTTCTAGTAAACTCTTCATTTTAAAGAAGTAGATATCTCAGAGTTTGACTTGTCTAGGACCCACCCACCTAATACTGAGAAGAATGATTAATAATTGCAAACTTCTTTGTTAGGATATAGGTCTATTGAGGGCAGGACCTAATTCCTTTTTGTTCTTGGACACCCAGCACTTAGCACCTTCCACAGGATAGGTGGTTAGTGAATATATATTGAATGAACACTCATATGAAGGGATGTATGAGCCCATTAATAGGGTTGGAATACGTGCCTCCAGACATGCAGGCTGTTATTTGACATTTGCTCTTGTACTTTGAATCCACCAGCAGCTCTGGAGTACTTTGATTGTCCAGCTTTGATTGTCCAGCTAAGTCTTTGGTGTTGATTGGTATTTTGGGCTCATACATTTTATAATCTTTTAAAATCACTATGTTAAAAGAGTTCTGAGTATGATATTTGGCACCTTCTTGATGCTCAGTAAAAGTCTGTTAATAAATGTAAGAAAGGATGATTATCTTACTCCCCTATTTTTTGAATACTTACTGCTTGCTTGGAGGAAAAGTTGGGAAGTTAAGGTCCCTGCCATTGATCATTCAACTCCTTATAATTGAAGAACAGAGTCGGAACTGCATGGTTCTGACAATTTCAGGTTCTTCCAGCCATGAGGGAAACCTCTATTGTTTTGTTTTATGTTTTGTTCAACATCCCTGGATCTGCCACCACTGGTCCCATGAAGAGTGAAAGTGCCCAGGCACAGTGGCTCACACTCATAATCCCAGCACTTTGGGAGGCTGAGGTGGGAGGATTGCTTGAGGCCAGGAGTTTGATACCAGCCTGAACAACAGAGTGAGACCCCCATCTCTACAAAAAATAAAAATAAAGAGAGAGAGAGAGAAAAAAAAAGAACAGTGAAAGTACAGCAGAGTGATTAAGTAGGTACCAAATAGCAGTTACTGACCCCCTACCACACACACACCTTTTTGTCAATGTGCAAATGTTCTATGAATGTTTGAGGTCATACAACTCAGTTTCTATGTGGATTATTACATTTGGACAGTATTTTAGAGTCTTCAGAACACATTCACAACTATTTGATCACCATATAACCAGAACAATGTTAAAAAAAGTAATAATATCAATAGCTAAGTGTTTTCTACTTATTTACACATTCAGTTCTTCCAACCTATAAGAAATGTTCTAGCATTATCTTCATTTCGTATATGAGGAGACAGAAACTTAGAGAGGTTTTAACCTAGGTTATCCAATAAGTGAGTGGCAGCTGGATTCAAAGATAGGCCTCAACTATGCTGTCTTCCAGGCCTCATCCCCAGAACGTGCTTCCACATCGTGGTTCTGGGTGGTCTTTAAATCAGTCCTCCCTACTGTTGTCTCTTTCCAGATTCACAGGAAACTGCTTGAAAGCGGGGTCCACACCAGGCATCTCTGCTTTCTTACCTCTTAACTCATTGCTCTTTGATAGTCACCCCACCGCTCTGTTGGAATTGCTCTCACACAGGTCTGCATTTTTCTTTCAGAAATTTGGGCAGCGACTAACTTGGATTAATTGCCTGGGATGTGCCAGACCTGTTGGAGGCCCTGAGTTTCAGTGGTGCTCAAACAAGGCCTCTGTCCTTCCCGGCTTACCTGGCTTACTTCATGGTCCTAGTCTGACTTTTCTTTTGGCAACGTTTGAATCAGTATTCCTCTCACTTCTTGAAACACTCCCACCCCCACCCTTTTTTGACAACCAGTTGTCAGGGTTTTCTTCCCCTGCTCTCCCTGCTTTTCCTCAGGCTCCTGTTGAGAGGCCCTCCTTTGTACTCCATTTATCCCCTAAGTGCTGTGTTCCCAGGGCTCAGCGGTAGGAACTCTTCTTGTCTCTCCTCTGCTCTTTCCTCCTCTTTGCTGAGCAACTTCATCAAGCCGCAAGGCTTTATTTCCACCTGTGAACTGACAACACCTCATCCCCTTCTGCCGACCTTTGGAACTATACTGACCTGCCAGCCGGACAGCTCCTTCTGGATGGCTGTGGGTGCTTACACCCCATGTGCCCATCACTAGAGTCAGCTCTGCCTCCTGTGATCTGAGATCTCTCTTGCTCAGAATAAAACCTCCATCCTCCCAGCTACTTCAGCCAGAAAATGTCCTCTCCCTTCACTCCTCCCTCCTTCCCCTTCTACACCCAAGTATCTAGGACATTCTTCACTTCTTTCTCCCTTCCAGAAAGACCTCAGTCCATACCACCATTACTTCTCACTGCAGGTTCCTTTGCTAAATGTTGTCAAAGAATCCTGTTCTTTTCCATTGGAAAATTGACCTTTGTTTATAACTACACATTCACCGTTGTGGTCAATTGATTTTTGGATCCCCCTTTGAATTGTAAGCTCCACGAAAACAGGAGTCTTTCCCTTTTTGCTCACTGTTTTATTTCTGGTACCTGTACAGGGCCTGGTACATACTAGACCCAGGTCTAGTTTATTGAAACAGATCCCTAACTGCTCTCCTGTCTTTGCCCTTCTCCGATATCTTCTCCCCACAGCAGCAAACACACATATCTGATCATGATGTCATTTTCTTGCAGAAAACATTTCAACAGCTTCTCATTGCCCTTGGATAGAATTCAATGCTTGAGGCAGCTTAGGATCTGGCCCTGGTCTCTTCTGTCATCACTCTGCAGCAGCATCCCTAGGTGCTGGGAGCCGTTCTCTTCTTTGTTCACATCCTCGCCACCTCCCTTGATTCCAAGCCTTCCTATCAGTTGTTCCTGCTGCCTGGGATCCTTGCTCTTCTGTCTCCTTTTGTTTAACCTGATTATTGTTTCTCATTTCAGTTTGGATGTCACCCTGCCAGAATCAGACGCCATCCTTGACCCCCTCCAAAACATCAGCCCTCTACACACCACAGAATTTCCTCTCTCCCTTGACTTAGCTTACCATATTTCATTGGCACAGGTAATTGCCTGACTTATTTATTGTATGTAAATCATCGGAGAGTAGGGACAGCTTCTATCTATCCATTGAGCTTATGGCACAGTTCCTGGCTTGGCACAAACCCAGTAAATCTTTGCTGAATGAATGAATAAATAAGTAGACCAAGGGTAATGCGAATATTGGCTAATACTGCTAGGCTTTAGAAATGGAATGGGAGGTAGAGTATATCCAAGGTTTATTCAGTGAACATACGTTGTATCCTGAAAGTACAGACAGTGTGTCAGAGACAGTGTCTCTTAAGACTACTGTCTTAAATAGTGTGGTGAACACCTGGTGAGCTCAGAAGGGCACCCTGGCTGATGCTCCCAGGGGAGACTTCCTGGGATCTCAGAAACACCAGGGAAACCTGGGTGTACTCCACCATTCCCATCCCTTTGTTCTAGACCTGCTGGAATTTTTCTCTTGCTGTCCATGGAACATTCAATAATCAGAAAACAATGGGATGGGAAAGCCATTTGGTTAGTCTGCTTGCAAAAAAGGCTGCTCTTTGTTTAAAGGCAGTGAGACAGAGGCCCGTTACAGCTCCCAGCAAGTCCAGAATTCAGTAAGCCTGGATGCCAGGAAGTTCTCTTTTACAGATGATCTCAATCTTCCCTGCTGTAATTTGAGTATTTCTCTTCTGAGTGTACCTTGTTGGTGACACACCCAGTCCCTCATTCGTGTTGTCCTCTCTCCCAGCAGGGACCTCCCTTCTCTCATGACTCTGCCTAGATGCTGTCCTCCCCAAGCACCAGCCCCTCAGAGTGAGGACAAGGGACTTCTTGGATCTAAATGACCTTGGGGGAGACAAAAGGAAGGAACTAAATTTCAGTTTTTCAACGTTGACAGAACTCAAAAACCTAATGCTGAACGAAGAAAGTTAAATAATGAGGCAGACAGTAAATTATTTATGTAAACCAAATATATACCAAGCAATACTACACATTTGGTAGCCACACGTGCATGCACACTTACACACAGACAGGCATGGCGGGAGGGCGGGAGGGTGCTGATCCATAGTAAGAGAGTGTGATGATGAGAGGGTGGGACTGGGGGCAGGGATAAAGGGGACAGAGGAGAATGAATGTCTGCACGAGAAAGCCAGCCTCATCTGGGTAGATGATGGTGTTGGGCCACCAACTGAGGAAATGGTAACTTAAGCTTATTCAAGTCCAGCCCCCCAAAGGAAAAGCCGTAACTAAAGGCGTGGCCAGGGTTCTGAGATTGGCCTTCTCTTCACTCTTCACTCCTTTGCCTTCCACACCAGAGTACAGTCAGGGTAAGTGAGACCAACTGGAGAAAGCCCATCTGGTGAGAGGCATCCAGGGAGTTGTGAGCAACGTGGAGGCTCTGGGACTTCTGCTGCTTGGTGCATCCATCCACAGAGAGAGAGGAAAAGGAAAGCCAGGGACTCTAATCAAGGAAAAAGGATCCTAGTATTCTGGGATTAGAAAAGACATACAGCATGTCCTCCGTAAAAGAACAGACAAGCCTAAAAGGGATTGTTAGCTTGAAACATCAGGAATGATGCCGTAAGCTGAGGAAGGTTTAACACCGTGATTTAGATAGGGAGCGTTAGATTTAGTATGTTTAAGGCAATTTCAGAACAGATTCACAACCCTTGGAAGAAGGACACCCGCGGATAAAACACAGCCTCCTGAGTGTGGCCTCCCCGGCCGCCTCTGAGCTCCCTCTGCCCTCCTGTGGGCTGGGGTGCCCACTCCTCTTCCTTACTCCTTCACACGTGCTCTCTCCTGCCTGTAGGCTTGTGTTTTTCCTTTGAACTTTATGTATTTATAAACATTTTATGTGATTATTATTAATCATATTAAAACATAATGTGATTATTTTATTTTATTTTTTTTGAGATGGAGTCTCGCTCTGTCGCCCAGGCTGGAGTGCAGAGGCACGATCTTGGTTCACTGCAACCTCTTTATCCTGGGTTCAAGCGATTCTCCTGCCTCAGCCTCCCGAGTCGCTGGGATTACAGGCGTGTGCCACCATGCCCAGCTAATTTTTGTATTTTTAGTAGGGATGGGGTTTCACCATGTTGGCCAGGCTAGTCTTGAACTCCTGGCCTCAAGTAATCCACCCGCTTCGGCCTCCCAAAGGGCTGGGATTACAGGCATGAGCCACCATGCCCAGTCCATAATGTGATGATGTTTTGCTGCCTTAACTGGTCTGTCCTTGAATAGGATTGAGCAAATGCCATAGAAAAGCATGGTTCGGTTCACCATGCCTATGGGAGTGAAGGTCTTCAGCCCACAGAGCCCTGAGCCCACGGTGCTGGCTTGCCTGGCCCCAGAGCCCCATGTTTAGGAAGGAAAAAGCTGCCTCTGTCCTATCAGCCACCCATTACGCTTCCCACAGAGAGTGACTGCCGAGCCAAGCTTCCCTGCCCACCCCGCTTCCACCCTGATAATGTGCATTTATTTACTTACTTTTATTTTTATATGTTTTATTTGTGTAAATTTAAGGGCTGCAGTGCAGTTTTGTCACATGAATATGTTGTGCAGTGGTGAAGTCTGGGCTTTAGTGTAACTGTCACTCAGATGTGCACTGTATCCATTGAGTAACCCCTTACCCCTCACCCTCCTCCCCTCCTTCCCTCCTAAGCCTCCATCGGCTATTCTTCCACACTCTATGTCCACTTGTGCGATTCTGCCTCAGTCTCACATGAGGCACAAGTCAGTAAGTAGCCAGCACCCCCATGTTCCAAAGACGGGAGCCAGCTCCAGAGGTCTCTGGACCCAGTGTGGTGCCATCCTAGAAAAGAGGCTGGAGATCCTCGGGCAGTTGGAGAATTTTTTTTTTTTTTTTTTGGAGTCTCACTCTGTCACCTAGGCTGGAGTGCAATGGTGCAATCTTGGCTTACTGCAGCCTCTGCATCCTGGGTTCGAATGATTCTCCTGCCTCAGCCTCCCGAGTAGCTGGGATTACAGGTGTGTGTCACCATACCTGGCTAATTTTTGTAGTTTTAGTAGAGACAGGGTTTCACCACATTGGCCAGGCTGGTCTCGGACTCCTGACCTCAGGTGATCCACCTGCCTTGACCTCCCAAAGTGCCAGGATTACAGGCGTGAGCCACCGCGCCCCGACAAGAATTCTCTGGAGTGTGTGCAGTGAGTCCTTCTCCTTGTGGGGAGGGTGGAGAACATCTTCTCTCCTCCAGCTTAGGGAGATGGGCCTTGGGCAGACACAGTGGGGGCACTGATGGGGACACAGTGGACTGGTCTGCCCTGGCCTATGGAATCTCGGGGGTGAAGGAGAGGGAGTGAGACCAAGGGTGCTGGTGGGAAGTTGTCCACCCTGGGAAGGGATGCACCTTTGTTTCCAGCAGAAAGGACGTGACAGAGCAGGCCCAGGCTCTCCTCCATGTCCTTGCCCTTTACACTCCTCAGAGAATGTCCCCCGGCTGCCCTGTGTGGAGGTGAGCCTCTGAGAATCTAGGGCTGAACGGGAGTTGATGGTGACTGCATGGATGGTGTGTCACCCTCATCAAGAGAGCAGGGGGTGAGAGGTTCCCAGAAATCAGGAGAGGGCTCCCCAGGGACCCAAGAAGACGTTCCTGAGAGGAAGACAGTTTTCCCATAGGCCATGGCCAGCATTCCAAAGCTGGATCTCAGGCTGACAAACACAATCCCTCCCTGCCTGGTACAGCGCTGCCCATCCCTGCTGTAGTCCTGGAGAGGTCAGAGTGAGGGAGAGATGGGGGTGGAAATGCCAGCAAAGAGAGAAGCTCATCAGGTATTAGGGGCTGAATTGGGTCCCCTCAAATTCACATGGTGAAGTCCTAACCCCCAGCACCTCAGATCGTGACTGTTTGGAGACAAGGCCTTTAAAGAGCTGATTAAGATAAAATGAGGTCTTTAGTGGGGGCCTAATCCAATCCGACTGTTGTCCTTATAAGAAGAGATGAGGACACACACACACACACACACACACACACACACACACGGAAGACCATGTGAGGGAGACAGCCCACGTGGGGAGATGGCCATCTCCAAGCCACAGAGAGGCCTCAGAGGAAACCAGCCCTGCCAACGCCTGGTTCTCAGCCTCCCACCCAGCCTGGGCCACTGTGTTGGGCAGCCCCAGCAGGCGAACTCATCAGGTCTCTGCCATTGTCTTTGCTTGCTTCCTGCCTACAACAGGCTGAGCTTTCACTTTGAATGAAAATCACACAAGATATATGAACAACTGAACTATGGTCATGACCATAGTTCCCATGACCAGGAACTTCTCTTTGTCATAAGCTGAATCCTGGCTTCCCAGACCCAGGAAGAGCCGCACAGCTGGGTTTGCAGGAGGGTCCAGACAAACACTGGGATTGCTTCATGGCCACCAGTAAGGGCTCTGCTCTTGTAGGGTCTTACTGACATCCTTCATGAAGACAGCAGGCCCATCACTGTCATCCTAAGCGGCTCTCCCACATTTGGCAGAGGAGTTTACACTTCCTGGGTTAGATTTTGGCTGCACTGACTATTCTTTGGAGAAAATAGAAGTCCAAAGGAATGAAGGGATTAAAGCACACCGCTCTCAGCAGGGACCAGGCTCCAACTCTGCTCCCCGCATCCCATGTCTGGCGAGTCTATTCTACCCTAAAAGACTGTCTTAGGGCCTGGTGGGGGAAAATGAGTTTCTCCTTTCCCCAGGCTGCAGTGGGGTCTTAGTGGCCTCACCTACAGATCTTTTTCCCAGATTTCAGTCTGTCTGGCAGATTCTCCTCTATGATGTGCCTATTAAGGCTTGTCTTAAATTAAATCTGCTGAGCTAGGCTTGGTACCGAAGTGACCCCACAATCCCCTAGAGGTGCACTGTGTCCTCAATAATATGAAAACTGATCCACACAGAGAGGGAGGGATTGGTTTGGTCTTGTTCTCCAGAGTAGCTGGGGGAAAGCATCAGGACTCCACCTCCCTAGCAGAATGAGGCTGCAGCAATTTATTTGTATTGAAATGAGTGCATTCTTTTTGATCTATCCTAGATGCATCAGCCCCATTTCCTAGACACACTGAACAAACTGAGAACAGAAAACTGAGATCAAATCCCACTACTTCCCATCAACCAGAGCTGAAGTGGGAGGATTGCTTGAAGCCAGGAGTTTGAGACCAGCCTGGACAACAAAGCAAAACCCTGTCTCTACAAAAAAAAAAAAAAAACATTTTAAAATATTATCTGGGCATGGTGACGCAGGTCTGTAGTCCCAGCTACTTGGGAGGCTGAGGTGTGAGGATCACTTGATCGCTCAGGAGTTTGGAGGCTGCAGTGAGCTATGATCACACCACTGCCCTTTGCTTGGGTGTCAGAGTGAGACCTCATCTCTAAAAAAAATTAAAATAAAATAAAATTATAAAATAATAATAAAAAAAGAAGGGGCACCCACCACAGAGAGCAATTAATGTCCAGAGAGTATGAACAGATCCTGGGACTGCTTTGCAAGACAGTTCAGTTAAAGTTGCTTTAACTTTGTAGGCGGACCAGCCTCTGCTCAGCCCTTGAAAGGGAAGCTGGGCACTCACCACACTCAGTAAGCTGAACAAGAGCAGGCCGTGAGGCTGCCAAGCCCTCCAAGGATAAAGCATGAGCCCTGGGGCAACTGGGCATGTGCTGGAGATAGCTGGCTCAAGGCCAGTGCCTCTTCAGTGCTGGAAACTGTTGACTCAAGATTCGTGCGTCACCCAGCCCTTGGGGGTGGGCCGGGGACCATGACTCTGGCAAGCTCACAGAGTGCCTGAGATTGAAGCTGCTGTGCATGGTGGCTGCTTTATGTTCCTGCAATAACTAACAGGGACCAAAGCTGAAAGCATTCTGTGTATGGGCTGATGGTGGCTGGAATATACATTTGGAGGTTTGAACCTAGCCTTTTCAAAAACAAAACCAATCAAATAAAGCAACCCCTCCCCATCACCTGAGGACTCTTCACAAGCTTTCTGGTAGGTTCCAGGAGTTTCTGATCCCCCAGGCTGAGGCATTACTTGGTGGTTATTAACCTCGTGCAGAGCAAAATGAAATGCAGACCCTGAGGTCCTTTGGGAGACTTAGAACCTTAGCCGAAGTTCCAGAGATCCTGGGGCTGCTTTTCTGAAGTTCCAGTTTCTTCAGCAAAGTTGCTCCCAATTTCTCAAATAGTGGATACACCTCTGCAGAGTGGCTGTCAGTCTTAGAAAGTGTAAGACATGCCTGGAGAACTTGTTAAAAGTTCAGATTCTACACACCTAACAGAATGGCAACAATTCAGAACACTGACAACACCCAGTGCTGGTGAGGATGTGGAGAAACAAGAATTCATTCACTGCTGGTGGGAATGCAAAATGGTACAACCACTTTGGAAGACAGTTTGGTGATTTCTTACAAAACTAAACATATTCCTCCCATATGATGCAGCAATTGTGTTCCTTGGTATTTACCCAAATGAGTTAAAAACTTCTGACCACACAAAAGCCTTCACACAGATGTTATAGCATCTATCTATCTATCATCTATCTATCTATCAATCTAATTATCATCTACCAATCTATCATCTATCAACTATCTATCTATCTAATCTATCTATCATCTATCATCTATCATCTATCTATCTATCTATCTATCTATCTATCTATCATCTATCATTCCATCATCTGTCTATGTATCTATGTATCTATCATCTATGTATCTATCATCTATCTAGGTATCTATCATCTATCTATGTATCTATCATCTATGTATATATCATCTATCTATCATTCCATCTATCATCCTATCTATCATCTATCTATCTATCATCTATGTATCTATTTCTCTATCTATCATCTATCTATATATCATCTATCTATCATCCCATCTATCATCTAGCTATCTATTGTCTGTCTATCTATCATCTATGTATGTATGTATGTATGTATGTATGTATGTATGTATCTATCTATCTATCTATCTATCTATCTATCTATCTATCTATCATCTTCTCTCTCTCTGTATCTCCTATTGACTATTTCTCTAGTGAACCTTGATTAAAAAATTGCTCTTAAAAAATCATGTTTTTTTTTTAAAGTTTATATGACTGGGATCTTCTCACCACCCACAAGAAATTTCAATTCAGCAGTGCTGGAGCTGGGCCTGGGAATGCACATTTTGAAGATCTTCCTCTATTTTCTGATGCCAGTGGCATGTGGGTCACCCTCAGAGAAGCAAAACCTCAGAGCTTCTTCCTGTAACTGGCAGAGACAGAAAGAGCTACAATGTGAGGTCCCCCTCCCATGGGACTCTCATTTTCCCCCACCCCACCCCAGCAACTGAGATGGGCTGTGTACCCTGGACTGGGGGGCAATGCAAGACATTTTGGCTTCTCATGCTCCTAGCTATGGCCTTCCTATCTTTTGCATCAGATAGATCATGTGGTAAACTAGGGAGAAGACTTGTGGGTGTTTCATCTACCCGGCAAGAGACTTCCTCCTGGCAAAGGCCGGATGATTGCAATGACCTTCTCTTTCCCGGCTGCTCTTGGACTGCAGGCTTTCCCCCTCTGCAGCACTTCTTTATGCAACTGACCACACAGTCTTCCTCTCACAACTTTTCGTTACATCATCTCCTTCCTCAAGAACCCTCCCTGCCCCACTACTGCCTTTAAGATCAAACCCGAATGCTGATCCCTGTGCAAGCCCCTTGTCTGTCTGCACGTGTCCCTCCTTCCAGTGTGCACGTGCCCCCCACCCCCACCACTGTTTTCCAATACTCCTTAACCCTTGGAGCCCTCAGCACTCAGCTTCAACTTGCCTCTTTCCAATGCTTCTCTGCCTGGCTTCCAGGACTCTTCCAGCTTTGTCAGTGCCAGACCATATTGCAGGGTCATTACCGAGGGGTCCTTCTACTTGAATTTGTTTTAGAGTGTGCTCCTGCCTGCCCTGCCCTGCCTCAGTGAAGGGGCTGGTGTTTATGCAAAGCAGGAAAGCAGAAAGACCAAGAGCACTGGACTCAGCAGACCCGGGTGCAAGGACACATGCAGCCCTTCAGGAGTTGTAAGACCAGGGACAAGTTCCTCAGCTTCTCTGAGCTTTTGTTTCTTTACCATATACATGGGAATAATGGTACCTGTTTCCCAGGACTGTTGGGAGGAGGAAAGTACAATGGTCATGGAGGTGAATGTGTGGAAATTACAAGACACTTCCCCGGGAGTCAGCAGCTGTCCTGCTCAGCTGCCCGAAGCTGGCTTCCGCACTACCGGACAGGCTTGGCTGGTGCATTGGTGGCCAGGCAAGGCACAGAGCAGGCACGAGGGCCAGAGAAGGGGACCACTGTTGTCCTGATGCACAGCCTGGAGGAGGACCTAGAAAACAACACTCAAATATATGAAGTCAGGAGCCAGGAGCAGAGTGTTGGATTGGAGATGTGCAGAAGCAGGTCTGCAGAGCTGAACAGGGACAGGGGCAAGGGACAAGAAAGCAGACAGGGGGGAGAAGGAGGGATGAGGACAGAGAAGGCCACTCCATGTGGCTTAGGGAAGAGCTTCTGGGACATTCTTCATCCAAGGCCAATTCTGTGGCTTAAAACATCACCAGTACAGCCCAAGAACGCATCTCGGAGGTCAGGAGCCCTGGAGAACCTGGAGGCTGGCAGCTCCTCTGTTCTGTCTGGGGGTGGTGTGTTCATGCAGGATTTGAGGAGACTGAATCATGTAATCATGTGGAGCTTTGGCTTTGAAATACTTTCTGTGCCCTGGACGATGACATCTCAAATGTTATTGAAGTTCTTGAAGCCCCCATTCCTCCTCTGTATGACAAGAATCCTAGTGACCACTTCACAGGGTGGTGATAAGATTTCAGTAGATACAGCACAGAAAGTGCTGAGGACAGGGCTGGGCACAGAGGAGGTGATCTTGGTTGTAATCATCATTATTATGCTTATAAAGGCTGCTTAGGCAATGCATGGAAGCTGGAAAGAAGTGGGTCTTCTCTGTACAGAATATGGGTAAGGAAAAAGCTTACTCTCAACATCAAGCGATGCTTCCTCTGGGCTGGAGTGGAAAAGTTGCTCCTGGCCTGCTTGCTTTGGTCTGGGAATGTCTCTGTGGCCTCCAAAAAGCAGATGAGGCTGGAGAGGGTTTCTTTTCTGGGGCAGCCTCTGGAGTTCAGACATTCAGGTTTCCCATCCTTCCCAGGGTGCTTATCTTAAAAACGTGTACCTCAGTCAAGAGATTCACTTCTAATAAGGAGAAGTTGCCAGAGCTGGCCACAGAGGGTGGTGAATGCAAGTGTAGCCCCATGGTGTTATGACAGATACTGGTTTTCATTCATGGTTCCTGGCTAATAACTCCCATAGCCCTCGTTAGTCTTTTATTATAATGTTGGGTGTGTTAGGCCTCACGGGTAGGCTTCAGACCTTCTCCTGCCTTCCTCCCACTCAAATGTTCCCCAGCCTTTCTGACTGTGCATCTTGAGACCTCCTATGAGGGTCCCACCCTGTAAAGCGGGGAAAGGAATGCTGATGTCACGAAGCTTCCATAAAAACCCAAGAGGACAGGGTGTGGGGAACTTCCCCATAGCTGGACACATGGAGGTTCTTGGAGCGTGGCGCTTAGGGAGGGCATGGAAGCTCCGCACCCCTTCCCACATACCTCGCCCTACTCGTCTCTTCGTCTGTATCCTTTGCAATATCCTTTATTATAAACTGGTAAACATAAATGTTTCCCTGAGATCTATGAGCCAATTCAGCAAATTAATCAAACCCAAAGAAGGGCACCCATGATCCCCTCTTGAAGCTGATTGGTCAGAAGTTCTGGAGGTCTGGACTTACGACTGGTGTGTTTGGTGGGGGGGCAGTCTTGGGAACTGAGCCCTCAACCTGTGGGATCTGACACTATCTCCATGTAGATAGTGTCGGAACTCAAATAGAGGACACCCAGCTGGTATCCTCTGCTTGGAGCATGTGGTAAAAAAAACTCACATATGGCCACAGAAGTTGTCTGTGTTTGATGATTGTTGTGGTATGAGAGTAGAGGGGAAGCATAGTTAGAAAGAGTTCTCTCTATACAAACCCCCAGTGGGAAGGTTTGATTGGAAAGGCATGCATGGGCTGGAGGCTGGGCTGCAGGGAAAGACACTTGCATGTGTTGTGGTCATGCTCTCAGCCTGGACACAGGGGCCAGAGGGCTGGCCCTGAAGGGTGGCAGGGCCGCCTGAGGCGGCATCTTACACTCTGCAAACAGATGCCACTCGGTTGCATACATGGGAGCAAAGTCCAGAGAGACTTTTTCTGATCCTTGAGATGGCTCCTTTGTAACTGAAGGAGAAAATGCATTTTAGAGAATTAAAATTTGGAAGTTGGCAGTATCCTACTGGTCAGCACTTGGAAAAAGGAAGTAAGAGAGGGAGGGAGGGAGGGAGGAAAGGAGGCTGGATTGGCTCTTCAACTATGAAACTTTTGACAAGTTCCATCTTGATTTTCACTCCTCTCTTTCCCATGCACTAAAGTTGACATCTAAGATAAATCACAGTGCAATTCACATGGACTCTGAAGATGAGTGTGCTAGACATTTCTTTCACTGCTGTTTGGCTGCTATGCACCCTTACAGGGATTTCTCTGGAGAGGTAGATTTCTCTGGAGAGATTGTAATCAAGTCCTGCTGGCAGAAGATGCTACCATCAGGTGTTTCTTCCTAGTCTAGAATGACATTTAACCCTAGGAAGCATGCAGCTTCTGGGGCGAACCCTGGCCACAGCCTCCTGCCGCTCTGGAGCCTCAGGTGGTAGACGTGCCGAGGTGGCACCTCATCCCACTTAGCACCCGTTTTTGGAACAACATCGTACAGAACATGTGGGCTTTTCTTTCGAAAGCTGTCACTTGGGGAGCAATCTGTGTGTCCTCCTATTATATAGTTTGATGTCTTGTTAGAATAGAAAGATTTCAAAATTAGCATCAACATTTGGGGAGAAATCAAATCTCTTCCATATGCTACTTTGCTTGGGTAGCACCAAAAAAAAAGGCAGAGCTAAGCCCCAGAATGTGTCTCTCATAGCCCCCGCCCCGCGGCCCAAGCAGGTGTGTTCTCAGACGTGCCACCTCCACAGTGGCCTAATTTCAGCTTCTATGGCTGCTCCCTGCTCTTCATCCCCATGTTCTCTCTTCCCCCATCATCTGGCTCTGTTCCCCCTCTGCTCTTGCTTCCCTTGCTGATGCACCGTTGCTGATGCGGTGGCATTGTAACTTGAAGGCCAGCAATCTGAGACCCCCCTCCTCACTCCTGGGCTCTCTCCCTCATGCTGATTCTTACGGGAGGAAGGGCTGGGAATTGGTCAACGTGCCTCTGATCTGGCCACACCCTATTCTCCAGGGAGCCTTGTCAGGCCTTGCCTCACCCTAAACATAAAAACAAATGACGCTGACCTCAAAGTCAAGGCTTCCATAGAACTCTCAGATTAGAGAGCGAATATTCCCAGATCAAAGTAGGCACAACTCTTTTATGGACCACTCTCGGCAGTGAAGGATTCTGTTCTCTGACTCATTCATTGGAATCTTTGCAACTTGTTCAACTGCATATCCTACAGACAGGTCTCTGGGCATTTCATGGTGCCCTGTTGGCCAGAAAAAAGACCTTAGACCTTGACCTTTTTTGTTTTAACTGAATAATCTCCTGGGTCTCATCTAAGTAAATATTTTTCTTGTTCACGAAAGTTCCTGTGGTGAGCAGTGAATTCTCATACAAAAAATACTATCAAGCAAGGATTTCTTGCCTTCTAGGAAATCATCATTTTATCCAGGTTGATCTATCTTGGAAGATTACCAATTAGTCCTAACCATAAAAAAAATCAGTAAAATGCTTCCCTTTTGGCCTTTCATGCTGCCAGAGCAGATAAACTTCACCTCCCAGGGTCCAAGCACCGAGTACTGGCCTTGGGCTCTTTTTTTAGTACCTTGAGACCAAGGAAAACAAAGCAAATTCAGAATGAATAAAAATGATTTCATATATTATAATATATCATATTAATAGAGTGAAGTAGAAAAGTATGTTCTTTTCTTAATATACACAGAAAGAAAGAGACAATATTCAACATCAATGAGTTCTAAATCATTGGTAGCAAACTTGAAATAGGACAGAGCTTCCTTTTTGGGGCCCTTTGTCTTTGGCTCAGATTAATTCATTGAATCAAATAGCTGACACCTTGGAGATTTTGTAAGTCTGAGGTCAAGTGAGTGCCAGTGGAGAGGGAAGACGGACAAAAATAGGAGGGGGCAGAAGCCATCCAGGGTAGTTGTAAATTCCAGGCTTACCTCCGGGCTCTCAGGGGTCTCACTGGCATATTGAAGAAAATCAAAATATTTCATCCCAAAATATATTTCTTTGACACATTTTGAGATTGCTGTTCACAGAGCCCGCATACAGAAGCAGCCCTGCAAGGCTGTCATTTGTGGGGAAATTTGCACCTGCAGAGAATCTGATTGACGCAGCTGTCTCGGAGGCCCTCACTTGTCTGGATCTAGGAAAGATTAACTGAGGTTCTTTTTTAAAGAACTGACATCTTTAAAGATCTGAAAGAAACATTCACCATCTATGCTTTCTGAGGGCTGCTACCTGTGGGGTTTCTTGTATGTAACAAGGTGACCTTTGCTAGCCAGGCCTCCTCTTCTCCCCCTTCCATAACCTGTGTTGTCACCATAACCTGTTGCACCTCCAATGCTTGTTTTTGGTCATATTCTGAGTCTTCTTGTCTCTGTAACCTCAAGATGTACCCCACTGGGTGGCTGGGTAATCACTTTGTGATTTTCTCCTCTGTGCATGTTAGTAACTTTGTCTGCCTTTTCTCTTACTGATCTGCCTTTTGTCAGTTGATTTTTCAGCAAACCTTCAGAGAGCGAAGGGAAAGTTTTCCCTTGACCCCTACAATGTTAAGGTGGCACTGAGACACTGGCCAGTAGGGGCACCTCTCCTGGCCTCCCTCTTCTCCCCAGCATCTTGCATTGTCACAGTCCTAGCTTCTGTTCCCGACTAGTGGGACTGGAAAAAATGTGGGAGCAGCTTCAAGCCTGTTCTTCTCTCCTGTCCTGTATATGAGTGAGGGCACCAGGGCAGCCAGGCAGGATAGACTTTCATTTCTCTCTCACAGAACAGTCCAGAG